>NT_187554.1:0-152148 GCF_000001405.40 Homo sapiens | reverse complement strand
CTGACACCTATAGGTACCATTGCATGTTACATGGGTCTCTTGAAGGCATATGTTTGGGTCCTGTTTTTGTATTCAATTTGCCAACTGATATCTTTTAAATGGAGTTTTATGGCATCTGCATTCAGGGTTAATAATGATATGTGAGATTTTGTGTCTCTCATAGTGTCATTAGCTAGTGGATTTGTAGTCTCAATTGTGGATTTGCTTTATAGGATCTGTGAACTTTGTACTTTTGTGTGGTTTTATGATAGCAAGTATTGTCCTTTTGTTTTCAGTTTAGACTTCCTTTGAGCATTTGTTTTTTGTAAGACTGATCTGGTGGTGACAAATTGCCTTAACATTTGCTTGCCTGGGAAAAACTTTATTTCTCTTTTGTTTATGATGCTTAGTTTGGCAGGATATAATATTATTGGCTGGCATTTTTTTTTCCTTTAAGAAAGCTAAAAATAGGCCCCTGGTATCTTCTGGCTTGTGAGGTTTTTGCTGAGATGTCTGCTGTTAGCCTGATGAGATTATCTTTATTTGTGATTTGGCCTTTTTCTCTAGCTGCCTTTAAGATTATTTTTTGTTGTTAGCATTAATCTTGGGTATTCTAATGACTGTGTGTCTTGATGATAGTCATTTTCTGTTATCTTGCAGGTGTTTTCTGAATTTCTTCTCTGGATGTCTATCTAGCAAAATTAGAAAAAATTTCCTGAATTATTCCATCAAATGTATTTTCCAAGTTGCTTACTTTTTGTTTTTCTCTCTCAGAAATGCCTGTTTTAGGTTTGATTGCTTTATATAATCCCATATTTTTCAGTCTTTCTTCATCTTTAAAATCTTTATTTTTTTGTGAGTAGGTTAATTAAAAAGACTAGCCTTGGAGCTCTGAAACTGTTTCCTCTGCTTGGTCTAGACTACTGTTAAGACTTTCACATGAGATTTCAATTCTTTCAGTTAATTTTTTATTTTCTGAAGATATATATATTTATATACATATATATTTTGTGTGTGTGTGTGTGTATGTGTGTGTTGGCTTTCAACTTTCTCTTGGATTTCATTGAGCTTCCTTACAATTCATATTTTGAATACTTGATACTTTCAAAATTCTATGCATTGCTTCAGAACTAGTGTGATCCTTTGGGGCGTCACAACATTCTGTTTCTTCACAGTGCTAGAATTATTGTTCTGGTTCCTTCTCATCTGTAGAAGCTCTTGTTACTTTTTAATTTACTTTCATTTAGGTTAGGTTTTTATCTCCCTTGAGCATAATACTGTTGCATACATTGGGTAGGATTCTTTAGATTTGCTTCTTTGTGCTTTTAGGGGGCCAAAGATTTGTATGGCTTCCTTGGTTATAGATAGCTTTAGTGCAGTGTTTTTTTCAAATGATAGTTGTTTGTGACTTGTAGTAGTGGTGTACTGTGCTTGTGGTCAGACTCACTGTCTCCTACAGGGCTGGGAAGGTGAAGGTCTTGATAGGCTTCTCTTATTCCCCAGCACTGTGCACTTCTGTTAGGAGAAATATTGGGTTATGCAGTTCAACGTGCAGTCCAGTAGGTAGTGTTTGCAGGTAAAGGCCAGCTGAGTGCCACACACTGATGTCAGCAAAAGTTACGGGCCATGCAGGTGGACCTCCTGACCAGTAGGTGGCACTTGCAGGTGAACACAGTGGTGTTAATGTCAATGGGATTTTTACCTAGCCTTTGTTTTTCAGATGAAGTATTGGTGATGACTGGGAGATGAGGCTTCTGGGGTGGTATCATCCTGCACTGTGCTACCATGGAGACTAGAGGGGGCAAAGCTGGGCAGGGCTGGGTCTGGTGAGCTAGCAACCAGACTCTTCAAAGTGGGCACAAGAACTGACCTTGGCAGAGGTTCTAAGGGCAGCTGTCTGGCTGCTGGGACAACCCTTAAGAGAGGGGTGGAGGCACCACTCCTGTGCCACAGAGCTCACTTAGGGGAAGACCAAAGCCTGGGGTTTTCAGCCCATTAGGCAGTTGTGGGGCCTACACAGCTCACAGACACCCAACCCAGAGGGTCTCCCTCCAGAGTCCAGCCCTGGCAACAGGCCCAATCAGTTAGGCTTATCCCATGCCATCTGCACACAGATTGTGCCACTTCAGGCATTCCAGACAACAGGAGTCACTGAGGGGAAAACTGACTATCAGATCATATTGTTCCTGGTCCAATCACATGAAAGGAGGCATAGTCAGCTCCTGTACCACCATACGAACCAGTGCCACACTCTTCTCTCTGTTCTGAAAGTGAGGGATACTCTTCCACTTGAGATCAGGCCACACATTTGATCTTCATACTGAGCAGTGTGCTTGAGTCCCAGGGAACTAGGTCCAGGCCAGGGGATTTATCCTCTGGCCCTTCAGTGACAAGTGGTGATGTGATGGGGGGTGAACTGCTCCCGGATTACCAATGAAACACTCATATGGGGCAATGGAGGCTATCCTGTTGGCCCCACCCTGTGGGAACAGCCATAAAGTCAGTCTTGAGAGGGACCAACAGGCAAGGGGGTGCATTGTTTGGAAGCATCTTGGTCCCACAGCAATGGTGGTGGGACCTGACTTGTCTTAGTCATATGAACATGCCTGAGCATTTCTCTCTCCTGCCAGGCAGAAGCAGAAACTGCAGCTGTTCATTGCAGGATGGAGAGTCTTGTGGGGTGGGCACCTAAAAAGGGTTCCATTTTTCTGCAGCTGCCCAGCACAGCAAGCCTTCTGGGCTCCATGTGGGTTCAAGCAATGCAACTGTGTATTCTCTAGGCAGCTTCCCTGCCAGTCCAAAGTCTTTTGTGGGGTATGTGGGAGGGCTTGTGAGAGCTTCTGTAGCTAGGATCTCAGAGGCCTGTGGCAAGAATGTGGTGCCCCAAGGTTGCTCCACTCATCCCTTCTTTGGGTCTTTTCTGGGTTCAGGGCCCAGATCTGGAGCCTATCATCCCTGAGTAGACTGTTCTGCACGTTTATCTGCAACCAAGGTGTCTTCTCTTGCCTATCAAATTTTTGTGTTTTCTTTCAAATGATTGTTCAAATTGTAAAGGTTTACGTGATATTTTGGTTCCTCTCTGTGGAAGAGGCACATCCCAGCTAGATCTAGCCTCAACCTCAAACATTTCTTTCCCATAATCAATTTCTCATGTAATTAAAAAAATCTATACTATAAACAGCATTTATTTTATTATTTGAATTAAATTATTAATTTTTATATTGGGTTTACATTATTAGAATACAATTACTGAAACATTTATCAGTATGTTATTATACACATATATATATTCCTTTTATTTTGCACTAACCTGCATGTTGTGCACATGTACCCTAAAACTTAAAGTATAATAATAAAAAAAAGAACTTATTTTTCCTTTTGGTGGTGACATTTAGGCATTTAAAATTCAAGTTCAGGAGTTTTGGAGACTTGGATTGTAGGAGGTGGGAAAAAATGTGTACAATTTATTTTTTTCATAATCATGTTAAATATAGAGACCATTATAAGCATCTTCATGGAATAATGATCAATTGTGAAGTCTGGAAATGGAATGCATAGTTTTTCTACTGGATATAAACATTGAAATTTTCTTTAGTAATAAGTATTCATCTTAATACTTATAAAAGCATTTTTTCTCAAGTTCCAGTGCCATTTACCAAGTATAAGCTCTCCTGCCTGAATTTTGGCGGTGTTATTCTAAAAGATTTAGTATTCTTATCATGAGAGTTACCCATTTCCAAATATAATGAAGTCACCCATCTGCTAAATACCTTTTCATGTTTTATAAGAGTCTAGAAATACTTGCTTTATAAGGTCTTTGCATGACTGTGTGCCTACTTACCTTTTTAAATTGTCTTTTAGCAGTTTCTCCCCACCACAGTGTAGTACGCCAAATGATAAGACATGCTGTGCCCCGTCATCTCTTTCCCGTCATGCTTGCGGTGTCATGCATACCTCTTTCATATCCTTCATAGTCACTGCATTAATGTTCTCGAGCTAACATTATGCATGTACCATAAAATTAGATATTTTAAAATGTATAATTCAGTGATATTCAGTATATTCACTTTAGTATATTCAGTTTTATATATTGCCCAGTGTTGCATAACCACTACTGTCATTTAATTCTAGTACATTTTTATCACCTAAAAAAATAATTAGCACTCATGCCTAATTCTCCCCTTCCCTTAGCCCTTGGCAATCAAATATCTACATTTTGTCCCTCTTGCCTATTTTGGACATGTTTTATAAATGAAGCCATGCAATATGTGATCTTTTGTGTCTGTCTTCTTTCACTTACTATCATGTTTTAAGAGTCATCCATGTTGTAACATGTTATAGCACTTCATTCCTTTTTATGGGCAAATAATATGCTACTCTATTCTTATATATTCTATTTACTACATAGTCCATTTTGTTCGTTCATTCATCAATTGAAAGACATTGGATTGTTTTCACTTTTTGGCTATTAGTAATAATTCTACAATGAACATTCATGTACAAGGTTTTGTGTAGACACATATTTTCAACTTTCTTATGTATATACCTAGAACTATAATTGCTGGAGTGTGTACTGACTCTATATTTAACTTCTTGATAAACTTTCATTGTTTTTCAAAACTACTGAATTCTTTTACCATCTACCAGCAACATATTAGGGTTTTAATTTCTCTGCATCCTTACCAATACTTGTGATCATCCCTGTTTTTGATAATAGCCATCCTAGTGGGTATGAAGTGGTATCTCATTTTAGTTTTAATTTGCATTTCCCAAATTATGAATTATATTGATATATTTTAGTGTGCTTATTTGCATTTGCACATTTTCTTTGAAGAAACATGTATTCAAATACTTTATACATTTTTAATTGAATTGCTTGTCTTTATATTGGTCAGTGGTAAGAGTTTTTAACATATTCTGGATAATAGGCCCATATTACATGATTTACAAATACTTTCTCCAATTCTGCAGGTTGTCCCTTCATTTTCCTGATAATTTTCTTTGAAGTACAACATTTCCAATTTTGATGATGCTCAATTTATCTATTTATTCTTTTGTTGGTGTTGCTTTTGGTGCCCCATCTAAGAAACCATTGCCGATTCTAGATCATAAACATTATACAGCTATGTTTTCTCCTGAGAGTTTTATAGTTTATGACCCATGCTTAGATATTTGACCCATTTTGAGTTAATTTTTGCATATGGTATGAAGGAATGCATACGGTACCTTTATTCTGTTGCATGAATATATCCAGTTGTCCTAGCACCATTTGTTGAAAATGATTTTTTTCCCATTAAATTGTCTCAGCATTCTTGTTGAAAGTGGTGTCATGCATACCTCTTTCATATCCTTCATAGTCACTGCATTAATGTTCTCGAGCTAACATAATATTATGGACAGGTTTGCTTAAACAACAGAAATACCTTTTTCTCACATTTCTGGAGGCTAGAATTCTTAGATCAAGGTCTGGCAGGGTTGATTTCTGGTTAGGGTTCTCTTACTGGCTTGCAGACAGCTGCTTTCTTGATGCGTCCTCTCATGATGGAGAGAGAGCACAGGAGGTCTACGGTGTCTGGGCTTATAAGGACACTAATCCTATTGGATCAGGGCCCCATCCTTCTAAATTACTAAACTTTAAGTACCTCTATTAACAGCCTTGTCTCAAAATATAGTCACATTGAACGTTGGAACTTATACATATGAATTTTGAGGGAACACATTCAGTTCGTAACACTCACTTATTTTTGTCTACATGTTCTGCTAAATTGCAAATTTCTTGTTTCACTCTGCAGTGTTCCCACACACAATACAGTGCCAGGCATATAGTAGGCACTGAGTAAATATTTCTTGAAATAATGAATGAATGACTGTAATCCAAAATTATAGTAGATAAAAGTGATGAACTAAATATATTTAATTGAAACATATTTGTGGTATGTTTTGATAATTTCATTTTTCATGCCAATACCTTACCTAACTAATTTTATGACTTATCGGTGATCACAGAAGAAAAGTGGTAAAGAAAATGTTATGATGTTTTCTCTATTATTCATTTAGCTTCATTTAAAAACACTATTTTAGTTTTAAGATTATTTATATGGAGAATTTTTAACTTTATTGAATCTCTGAGCCTGTGGGCACTTTCAAAAATTATTTAGGTTTCCAATGTAGGGCAGAGCTAAAAAAAATCCTTGAGATATTTTAACAAGGTAATTTCTTAAATAAGCAAATATTTTCTATTAATTTGGGGTTAATATTGCATATTTAACATCATGTATTGTATACATTGGCATTGACCAAAATATATTTCATAATTAACATATCTCTTTTTATGTCAAATTAATATTCCTTTATGTGCTCTTTTGATCATTCAGAAGTAGAGTGACGGATTATAACCAGAATCAGAAATGAATAGGGAATGTGGGCTAAAATTATTATGTCACTTTTAAGTATGGTTGCTATTATTTGCATTTTAATAAAATGTGTATCTAAAGTGTATACTCAAGTCACTAATTCATGTATTCGAAGATCCAACAAACATTAGTTAAATACCTATTTTTGCCAGGCAATGGAGACATATGAATTGAAGACAAAGTTCCCACTCTCTAGGAGCCCACAGTCTAAACTGAGATACACAAAAATATAAGTAGACACAAAATCATATGGTGAGTTATACGTCTGAATTGTGTAGTTACTATGAGAAGATTCCTATATAAGTAGTTATATATACTTACTATATTTGCATGATGGAGATGGGGAAAGTTTTTAAGGTGGGCGAATAAAAAATTATGCTAACTGGGGAGAAGTGGTTTTCCCAATCAGAAAAGTCCCTGTAGATATAACACGGAATATCAAGCACGAGAAAATTGACAGTAATTTAGCCTAGAAAGATCACTAGATATATAAAGGGAAGGGAAACTAGCAAGATCTGTAATGCATTGGTCATGAAAGAGGTAGTGTTTAACCTTTTTGTCTGTATGATAGTCAAAGTCCTGGAGGATTTTAAACAGAAAAAAATAGCATCAGCATTTTATTTTAGAGCAATCATTAGGCAACGAAGAATCATGAGAGAATTTCCCAGTTGTTATGGATTGGGAGACTAGGATTAGGGCTACACAATCACTTTCCTAGGTCCCAGTCACTTTTGCCTTCATGAGCCACTTCCTCTAGGAAAAGTAATTATTACTGTGTTGGTATCGTTGGTGGCCCAGGAGCACGTACACTGCTGGGAATTTTTTAGAATCTCAGGTTTTACTCCATACCTACTGAATCAGAATCTGCATTGAACAAGATCCTCAGGTACTTTATAAACACATTAAAGTTTGAGAAGCTCTGACTCAGATACCACAATTAGTGTTAGATAAGCAGAGGGACTTTTTTCCCTGAGAAAGATGGTGATAAAATATGGTGCATAGAGATAACAAATTGTAGTTGGTTAAATAAAAGAGGCAGATACTGATTACTTAAACTTTTTTTCTGAGAGCAAAAGGCAAGCTTTTCTATTAATAGAGAAAAAAAGACATTGGGGCTAGTGCAGTGTTACAGTCTGATGTTTGCCCTCACAATTCATATGTTGAAACCTAATCACCAATGTGATGGTATTAGGAGGTGTGGCTTTGGGAAGTGATTAGGTCATGAGGGCAGATCCCTCATGAATGGGATTAGTGCCCTTGTAAAAGAGGCCCCAGAAAACTTTCTTGCTGCTTCCACCATGTAAGGATACAGTGAGAAGATACCATCTATGAAAGGGCCCTCACCAGATACCAAATCTGCTTGCACCTTGATCTTGAATTTCCAAGCCTCCGGTAATATAAAAAAAAAATCTGTTGTTTATAAGCTACCCAATCTATGACACTGCTTTACAACAGCCCAACCAGAATAAGACAAACAGGCTAAGAATATTGAGAAATATTATTTTCTTAGAAATAGCTGTGGAGAATAAGACAAATAGCTAGGCAGAGATTCAGTCTGCTGCTAAGTGTTCGTGTAGTGGGGTGGAAAGAGGGTGGTTGACATCTAAGATACTTTGGTACTAGACTTCATATACTTTTTTTCCAGCAGCTCTGAGCATGTGTAGAAATTAGAAAATTCAGAAATTTATAGCAATTTAAGATTAGAAGGAAGATAAGTTGCCAAAGATGTTGAGAGTGCTGACTAGAGAGTTAGAAAGTACTTTTAATAATGTATTTTTAACTGGGTGTGTAACACTGCTGTATTGGAATACCAATGAAGTGAAAAGGATTAATAAGCTCTGAGAAAAGTTATTCAAGAAAATGTAGAGATTAATGAGACTGAAGAACACATTTAGTTGCAGTCCAGCATAAAATATATAGGGATTAACAATCATAATGAGAAAGTGGCATGTTGGAGGTTAAATCCTTTGATGTGTGGTGGATCTGGGATTTGACACTGTCTGGAGAGTGAATCACTAAGTAAATGTCAGAGCGTGGGAGGAAAAGAGATCAAATAATTTGTAAGGTGTCGGGTGATCATGCACTGAAACCCTGAAGCACCCTCTCCTTTTCCATCAAAGCTCCCAGACTGCTATACCAGTAGAGGGGAGAAATGGGAGCCCACTGCTATGCCCCACTGAGGAATACAATTGTTACGAAATGGTAAAAGGAGGTAAAGTGGCAAGGCATAAACTTCAAAGATGGTGGTGGGAATATCAGCCCTTGCAGATGGGAAACTAAAGGTCTAAAAGGGCTACAAATAAAGTATATTTTATGTCAAAAAATTCAAATATGTGGAGAATGAAAGGGCAGCCATAGAAGCATACAGACAGCTGCAGGAGGGATAGTTTTTATTTCAACCACTAGATTTGAATAACAAAAAATAAACTAAGAATAAGGTAAATATTAATACAGAAGACAAGACTGGAAGGGAGATAATGCAGAGACAACATGGAAGTACTCACGTGTTTGACAAACTCTTCTCTAGGTGGGGGAAAGGAGAGAGAAAATTATTCCTTTAGGACATTCACCTGTATGTGGAATCAACAGCTGGCCCTGTTGAGTTTACAGAACTCTCAAACAAGAAGATAGAAGTAGAAGACACTTTTAAGGCCTTGAAGTCCAACCCCTGCCTCCCACTCACAAAATAGTCTCCTTAGAGCGCGTAGAGGTGGTGGGGTATGAGAAGGAAGACACATCCTTCCTTGATGTCAGTGATTCTGGGATTGAGCAGCAGCACAATTGATCTTGGCCAGATATTTGACAGCCCTCTACCATCACTCCCAAAGCAAGTGAACAATTCATAAATGGTGCTTGGACTATTGTGTCTTGATTTTGGTACTCTTACCTTCTTTAGATCACATTTTTGTATAATTTCTGTGAGTGTCTGGCTCTCCTACTGGACTGAAACTTACTTACATTAATTTATTGAGTTGGGGTCTTACTCTTTTGCCTAGGCTGGAGTTCAGTGGCACAGTCAGTGTTCACTGCAGCCTCAACTTCCTTGGCGCAGGTGATTCTCCCACTGCGGCCTCCCAGGTAGCTGGGACTATAGGCACACGTCACCACACCTGGCTAGTTTTCTGGATTATTTTTGTAGAGCCAAGGTTTTATCATGTTGCTCAGACCAGTCTCAAACTCCTGGGCTGAAGTGATACACCCTCCTCGGCCTCCCAAAGTGCTGGGATTACAGGCATGAGCCACTGTGCCCAGCCCTGAAACTTCCTTTGTATACGGTTACCATAAATTAGTCATCCCTGTATTCTCTTTCCCAGCTCTCAACAAAGTACTCTATGTAATATTCAATAATGTTTGTTTTCTAAATCAGTAAATCCCAATGGCCCTATGCTGCAGGAACCTATAGTCTCAGGGAACAAAATGGCACTCTTTGAGTAATGACTTTGCATTCTTTCAGCACGTAGGATGTAACCATATGCCTAAGAAACCTGTCTACAGGCTTGATTAAAAGACAAAACAAAATAGTTGAAAGTCACAGTGCTTTTGATTTAATTTTCAAATACTTAGGTTATCTCTTTGGGTTAAATGTGGATAATTCATCTATTAAAAAGTAGGAGTTTATGATCTATTGTCCCTCACTGTTCAAGGACCACTTCAATGTTCCCTGACCACTATTCTGTTATGGAAAATTAAATGAAACCCTTTTTACCCATTAGCAAAGGAATGCATATTATATGCAAAGAGCATTATCTCTGGACTATTTTTAATATAGATTTTGAACTATGATATCTCATGACTATGCTTACTTATATTTATATTAGCCTTGCTTTTCCTGTAACATGCAGTTTTGTAAAAATGTTTCTCAGAGTTCCATTTCTCTTTTTGTCAGGAATGCATTTCATTGCAAATAACAGAAAGCCAACTAACATGTATAGATTTATTTTTCTCACTTAATAAGAAATCTGTCAGTAACAGACCAGAGCTAGTGTACGAGCTTCATGAGGCTATCAGAAACCAGAGACTTTTTAATATTTGGAGTGCCATTTCTAGCATATGTCTTTCCACGCCCAGCCCAAGTTGCAAGATGATTGCTGTACTTATTTATATGCTCCTAGCAAGAAAAAATAAAAAAAAGGCAAAGGGGGCAAAAGAGGAAGGCCTAACAAGCCTCTTTCTTCTAAGAAGGCTTCCCGGCCAGGCATGGTGGTGGTTCCCAGCACTTTGGGAGGCCAAGGTGGGCGAATAATTTCAGGTTAGGAGTTTGAGACCAGCCTGGCCAACATGGCAAAATCCTATCTCTACTAAAAATACAGGCCAGGCATGGTGGCTCATGCCTGTAGTCCCAGCACTTTGGGAGTCTGAGGTGGGCAGCTTGAGATCAGGAATTCGAGACCAGCCTGGCCAACATGGCGAAACCCCATCTCTACTAAAAATACAAAAATTAGCCAGGTGTGGTGACGGGTGCCTGTAATCCCAGCCACTTGGGAGGCTGAGGCAGGAGAATCACTGGAACCCAGGAGGTGCAGGTTGCAGTGAACTGAGATCGCACCATTGCGCTCCAGCCTGGGCAACAAGAGTGCAACTGTGTCTCAAAAAAAAAAATTAGCCAGGCATGGTGGCACATTCCTGTAATTCCAGCTACTCAGGAGGCTGGGGCAGGAGAATCGTTTGAACCTGGGAGGCAGAGGTTCCAGTGAGCCAAGATTGCGCCACCGCACTCCAGCCTGGGCAACAGGGCAAGACTCCATCTCAAAAAACAAACAAACAAACAAATGAACAAAAACAACAACAACACAAAGGTTTCCTTCCTGGAAGCTTTACCCAGAGATTCCCACTGTACTGGCTGGAACTGGGCCATGTGGCCACTTCTAGACAAATTTTACTAGAGGTTGGCCTAAGAAAAGGAATTATGAAAAGGGTTTGGTTAATATAACCACAGCATTAATTACATGCCTTTTGCCTTTTATCTTTGATCTCTATGTCTGTGTAACACTTTCTTGGATACATATGGTCTTGGACTCAAATACCATTATTCATATTATTTATTCAGATTTATCTATACATTTTATGAGGATACTTGAACAGTTATTTCAATAATAGCTCATATTTATTAGCCATTTACTCAGTGCTAGAGAAATGTTTTGCATAACATTATTTAAACTTAATTCTATAGGGTATCAATGATGAATTGTGTCTTAGGTTGAATATGTTACCACAAGTTTAATAAGTTTCTATCTTTCTTTTTTTTTTTGGTTAAGGATATATTAAACCTATATTCCTCCTTCTCTTCCTTCTTTTGTTTCTCTTTCTAGTTTGGTCAATCTTTTCTTTGTGAAAGATCTCACTGGTAGGGAAGAAGAAAGTACTATAGCATAGTATTTCTTAAAGTGTGTTTCAAGGGTTGTTAAACGTGATACACATTAAAAATAGTTAATCAAATAATTTTAAAAATATGCTATATAAAACTAAGTTTAAAATATTTATTTAGGCAAAAAAGTAAGACCCTGTTTCAAAAATAAAACTATTTATATGATTATTATTTGCTTTCCCAGCTGAAGAACAAGCTTTCTGAGAGTGGTGGCTGAGTCACTGTTGCTCCTGCTTATAAATCCA
Organism: Homo sapiens; assembly: GCF_000001405.40. Taxonomy (NCBI): domain Eukaryota; kingdom Metazoa; phylum Chordata; class Mammalia; order Primates; family Hominidae; genus Homo; species Homo sapiens. Next base: position 140,146 of record NT_187554.1, on the reverse strand, counting down.
GGGTCTAGTATAACGTTCTGTATAAGGTACAACATAAGTTATTATCTTTAGTTGAATCCTAGACCTCCTGATATGCTAATGTACTGAGTGAAAATCTGAGAAAGAAAATGCAGTGTTTAAGTCTCTGAACCAAAATAACTACTGTATAATTTTAAAAATGTATTATAGTTTTGAAATCTGTAAAACAAAAAAATATACAAAATTCAAAATAATGCAGTGGAAAGAAATTATCCCAACTTAACCTGTTTTCGAGGTACTTAGTAATTTTACTTAAAGGCAAACACTGTTGTCAATTTATTAAATAACTTTCCAGAAAAAGTCTCAGTGTGTGTTTGTGTATACAGACATACGAAATTTTACTATTTTTTTGGAGGCATACTATGTTCTTGCCCTGTAATTTGATCTTTTCACTAAGCAACATATATTGTACTCTATATCAACATATATGGAATTACTTCATTCTTCTTTTAGCACCAGCCTAGTATTTCTTTGTAGGACCCCAACATTATATAGAAAATCCCTATTTAAATTGCTTTCTCTACATATATGTACATCATGTCACACATGTAAGAGTTTTGTAGGATAAATCTCAAGACGTGGATTTGTTGAGTCAAAGTGTATGTGAATTATAAAATTTAGTAGATTGCCAAATTGCTGTCCATAAAGGTTATACTACTTTATACTCCCATCAGTAATGAATAAATATATGTTTCCCCTCAGCCTGGAAAATACTGCATATAATCAGTTTGTCTATCCATTTCATACAGGTCTCATAAATTATAGTTGAGCAAAGTGGTCTTTTATGACTTTTAAATTTATTCTGATGGTATCTGTAGCAGTATATCTTGGTTTGGATGTTGTGCTTTTGTCTATTTTGCATGGAAAAGTCAACCTTTTGTCCTTCCTTTCTTACTTTCTCTAATTTCATAATTTGGTAATTTCTTATATTTTCTTGATTAACTCCTTCCATTTTGTAAATTTGTGTGTATGTGGTGTGTGTGTGTGTGTGTGTGTGTGTGAGAGAGAGAGAGAAAGAGAGAGAGAGAGAGACCTCTGTATGTTTCTTGATTTAAATATACTATATAAATTCATCACCATAAATAATCAGGGCATTTTAGAAATGAGGAAAAGACAAAGGTTCACAGAGATTTAACACTTTCCTGGAGGGCACACAGCTAGATAGGATAAAACCTAAAACTGTTTGATTTTAAATCTAAACTCTCCTGACTACACCAGGAGCTTTCTGATTAAAATCACAGTGTCAACACAATTTAATCAATATTTTGCATAATATTTTATATGTCAAAATACTGTATTTAAAAGAAAAAAATTTATGCATATTTGTTCACATTTAGAACAGAACAGAAATTTCTTAAGCAATTTACTTAAAAAAATTCATCTCTACCCAATTTTATGTGGCATGAAATATAATTTCTACTTTGCAGTTGAGAATCAAAGGCTTAAACAGATAAGTTGAAGTCTTATATACAAGTCTTATGAGAGCAGAAGCTGGTATTTCAACCCAGGTCTGATATCAAAGTCCTGGGTCTTAATTGCAAAGTTGCAATGTTGTCAAACTCTGTTGAATAAAATAAATTATTTCAATGCAAATATTTCAGTTAATGAAGAGGGAGGGGGAAGTTGAGGAGGACATGAGGAATAATATAAATGACTCTTTTTCAGAGTATGATTTGACTGACAAAGTGAGTCCATTAGGTAAGAGTTAGATGAGTCTTAGGTGTCTGAGATTTCTTAACATAAACAGCAAAAATGAGTAACTATGAGAGAAATGTAGTAATGCTCAGGAAAAAAAGATAACTTTTTACCAGCAAGGAAAAGTACTTCATTCAGTTCCCTCGAGATCATCAGGAGAGAACTAAGTAGGTTCCAGATAGAGTGATTGGAATTTAAAGGTAATAGTCATCTATTGATTGGAAATAGGTATTAGGTAAATTTTAGTATTAAATGTAAACTTCTGAAATATTATCTTAAACTATAATTAATACTGAAGAGTGGTACATCCCTAAAAATAGAGAATGCTTAATAGTCTTAATAAGAACATTAAAGGTAAATGTAAATGGTAACAGTTACTGTTGAAAATTCCTAGTAGATAAATCATAGGTATCTGCATTAAAATCATATTTGACATTATATTCCTTTGTCAAGCTTAGCAAGGATTAGTTAATTATGTTAAAATTTAATTTATATTTTTTAATATGTGAAGAAAGTTCACATATAAAATTCTACTTTTTATTAGGAGTACATAACTGGGACACCTCTTACTTTTTTGTCTAATGGAAATGTACATTCTTTTATCTTCACTGGTCATAAAAGGCAATAAGACATGGTAGAAAGAGTTTTGGATATAGAACAATATATGGCTGTGTTTGAATCCTGGATTATGCAGTTATGGAGAAATATATTAGCATCTCAGTTTCAGTTCCCTTATCAGGAAAAGGGAAAAGCATAATAACAAAATCTTAGATTTGTGATGAGAATTTCAAATAAGTTGGAAAAAGTGCCTAGCAAATGATAGGTACTCAATTATTATAAGCCTGGAGCTAGCTAATAGGACATCCCTCTATGGAGCTGATCAATAAAACTTATGCAACCCTAGAATCACAGCTAAAATAACTGAATAATTCATTCTTTCATTCATTTGTTCATTTTGTATGCCAATTACATTCAATGCCAAGCACATTCCAATATCAAGGCTTGAATATTTGCTTCCTCTGAAGTGCTCTTTTCCACATACTCACATGACTAATTCTATCTTCTTTGGTCATCCTTAAAAATAGCACCTATTTGAGTCAGGCTCCCCTTCATTTTGTTCATTACTACCTAATACTTTAGATGCTTATCTTTTATTATCTATATTGACGATGAGAATATAAGCTTCACAAAAGCAGGGAGCTTTTATTTATTTATGGCTATATAAACAGTGCCTTGAATTTTGTATGACACATTGCAGGTGACTATAAATATGCTTGATGATGAATACTAACCCAGAGAGAAAGGAAGCAAGTAATAATCTACAAAACAATCAGAAAACAACAAAATGGTACTAGTAAGTCTTTGCATATCTGTAACTACATAGAGCAAAAGAATAGATTTTTAAAAAAAGAATTATGCTGCCTATTAGACTTACTTTGCCTGAAAAGACACTCATAAAGTGAAGAAATAAAAAAAGTACCCATGTAAATGGAAACCAAAAGAGTGCAAGAGTAGTTATATTTATTTCTGAATATTTTATGCCATACAGCAATATGTGCTTCTCATTTATGACTGTCATAAGTTATCCTTTTAAAGGGGTTGAACTCAGTGACATGATAGAATAGGAGGCCCCTGTCTCTCTATCCATGAATTCATCAAATAGCCTTCTATTCATAAATCATCTCTCTCTGAGAAAAAGTAAAAAACCAGTTGGGAGACTCCTACTCACAGGACAACTAAAAAAATCTACACCAGATGGGTAGAAAAATCTGTCACCCTCAGACACAGACCTTGCTCCAGACAAAGAGCTATACAACCAGGAAAGAGGAGCCCAACACCCCAGCTTCTCCATGTGGAGAGAAAGATTTGAACCTTACATACAGTGCCCTAACTCTAAGGTTCCCCACAGTTTGGCCCTTAATTCAGCAACCCTGGGAATGGAGACGATTAGGCATATGTAAGTCTCTATAGCCCACAGGAAAAAACAGCAGTTTTCTATGTGAGTGGAAGTACTTCCAGGAGCCTCATTCTCTGGGAGAAGTGCACTCTTCCAGTCTCTGCCTGGCAGCCTGGCTTCTAACTGACTTACATAGGAGAGTTGAAGGGGCAAATAGTAGCCAACTGAGAAGCAGATTGCCCCATCCTGAGCCTTCTCCTTGGCTTGCCCCAACAATAGCTCCAGGTTTATTAATCTTTTCTGGAAGGAGTTTGTCCATATATTGAGCACTTCAACTTTTATATCTTCCACCCCATAAACTGCATCTTAAATCTCATACCTCTGGGAGCAGAGGGAACTAGGTATACACAAATTTCTCTAGACCACAGCAAAGAGCAACCGTTTATATAGATGTATAAGCACTTTCAGAGGCTTCATCCTCAAGGAACAATGCAGAGAGGGAACTCTAAAAATGAAGTTTCTTACTTCTCTCCAGAAGGGGTTTATCCATATATTGAACAGTCCAGCTTTTACAATTACTACCTGAGTATCAGGGGAACCCACCCCCAATATTTCAATGTATGTTCTTTCCATTTTCCCTAAGTGTCGGCCAGTCTCAGAAATAAAGAGAAAGAGTATAAAGAGAGGAATTTTATAGCTGGGCCACCGGGGGTGACATCATGTATCGGTATGTCTGTGATGCCCACCTGAGCCACAAAACCAGCAGGTTTTTATTAAGGACTTCAAAAGGGGAGGGGGTGTATGAACAGGGAGTAGGTCACAAAGATCACATGCTTCAAAGGGCAAAAGGCAGAGCAAAGATCACATGCTTCTGAGGAAACAGGACCAGGGCAAAAATCAGAAACTCCTGATAAGGGTCTATGTTCAGTGGTGCACGTATTGTCTTGATAAACATCTTAACAGAAAACAGGGTTCGAGAGCAGAGAACCAGTCTGACCTCAAATTTACCAGGGCTGGGGCTTCCCAATCCTAGTAAGCCTGAGGGTACTACAGGAGACCAGGGCGTATCTCAGTCCTTATCTCAATCACATAGAACAGGCACTCACACAGCGGCCACTTATAGACCTCCCCCCAGGAATACAATTCTTTTCCTAGGGTCTTAATATTATATTCCTTGCTAGGAAAAGAATTTCATGATATCTCTCCTACTTGTACGTCTGTTTATAGGCTCTCTGCAAGAAGAAAAATATGGCTCTATTCTGCCCGACCCCGCAGGCAGTCAGACCTTATGGTTGTCTTCCCTTGTTCCCTGAAAATTGCTGTTATTCTGTTCTTTTTCAAGGTGCACTGATTTCATGTTGTTCAAACACATGTTTTACAATCAATTTGTACAGTTAACGCAATCATCACAGGGTCCTGAGGTGATGTACATCCTCAGCTTATGAAGATAACAGTATTAAGAGACCCGTTTGGGGTCCCTGACTTCCTGCAACACCTGAAGGACTCTGGAAACAGGAAATATTAGGCAAATGTAAGTCTCCTTATGTCACAAGACATAAAGTTGGTTTTAAATGGGTGTGCAAGTGCTTTCAGATGCCACACCCTCTGGGAGCAATGCAGAAAAGACAATGGAATACAGTACCTACTTGATGGACTGGCTTCTAACAAACTTTCATTGGGGAGCTAAGTGGGACATACAAACAGTAGCCACATGGCAGCTTGAGCCAGAGCTCAGCACTTCCTAAACTTTTCTTCCAGCTTGCCCCAGTGATAAATCCAGGTCTACCCATTCTTCCTGGAAAAAGTTTGTTTATGCACCCACTGCCACAACTTTTAAAGATCCCACCCCAAAGTCTGTCTCCTCAATAGTGTAAATCTGGGAGTTAATGGTGCTTTCCATTCCTGAGTAGCCCTAAACCCCAGAAAACCAAAAAGATGGGCATACAGTGGGCCTGCTTCCAGCAGCTATCTCCCCAGAATCAGAGGGTGAAGCCTTAACTCAAGCACAGACATTAGTCACAGATCATCTCTTTAAATTAGTTTAGTAGATTAGCATAGAGAGATTGGGACATAAACACCCATATTAGTTTTATGAGGAGGATAGAAGGAAATGGAATGTTCAACACCCCAACCTTTCCAGTTACATCTAAAGGGTCTGGCTTCTGCCTTATTGATCTTAGAAATACTCACAGGACATGGCACATTGTAATCTCTAGGGAATCACCAAAAACAGAGATAGCGGTTTGTATAAACACAAACATTTGAGAGGCACCTTAAAACAATGACCAGAAAAGATTCATGAAATCTTTCTTCTATACCAGGGCAGTCTGACAAGCCTGGGAGAGGCATTGTGTTATATAATGCACAGAAACCAACATGAAGAGTTGGAAAATAAAGAGAAGGCAAATAAAAGAAAATGAAGAAACAAGGATTAATATATCAAATAAAAATTTACCTACAAAAAAAGGCTAATTCTCCAGCAACTGAGCTGAATGAAGTGGAGATATGTGATATATCCAAGAAAGAATTCAAAATAATGGTAATAAAGGGGCTTATAGAGGTAAGGAGAGCAATGTAGCAACAAACCTACAATTTAAATAAAGAGATAGGAATTATAAAAATGTACCAAACAGAAATCATAGACTTGAAGAATTCTATAAATAAACTGAGATACTGAATAGAGAGTTTTAACAACAAACTAAACAGAAGAAATCAGTACACTCAAAGCTAAGCCACTGGAAATCATTCAATCTTGAAGCAAAAAGAAAAAATGAATTAAAAAAAAACAGTGAGACAGCATAAGAGACTTTGTGGCATTTAATAATCAAACTCCCAAAGATCAAGTATTTAAAAAGGATACTAAAAGAAGCAAAAAAAAAAAAAAAAAAAGAAAAAAAAGAAACACATAATACACAATGGAGCTGTAATACATCTGATGACAGACTTTTTAGTGGCGATCTTACAGGCTAGGAGACAGTGGCACGACATATTTGAAGTGTTTAAGGAAATAAAAACAAAACAACTTTTACCCTAGAATAATATATCTGGCAAAAATATCCTTCAAACATGAAGGAAAAATAAAGATTTTTCCAGAAAAAGAAAAGCTGTGGAATTTCATCAACACCAGACCTATCCTATAAGGAATGCTAAAGAGAGTGCTTCAATCAGAAAGAGCAGAATGTTAGTGAGCGATAAGTAATCACCTAAAGGTACAAAGCTCACTGGTAATAGTAAGTAAAAAGAAAGACACAGAATATTTTAACACTGTAACTGTGGTATGTAAACTACTCTTATCCTAAGTAGAAAAAAAAAACAATGAATCAAAAATAATACAACTTTTCAAGACATACATAGTACAATAAGATAAAAATATAAACCAAAAAAGTTAAATAGCAGAGTGACAAATTAAGGCATAGAACTTTAGTTAGTTTTCTTTCTGCTTTTGCTTGTTTGTGCAAACAGTGGTAGGTTTTTATCAGATTAAAATAGTGGCTTATATAAGATAGTATTTGCAAACCTCATGGTAACCTCAACCCAAAAACATACAATGAATACACAAAAAAAGAAAAAGAAAACAAATCATATCACCATAGAAAAGCATCTTCACTACAGGAAGACAGTGAGAAAAAGAAGTGAACACCACAAAACAACAAGAAAAAACAATGAAATGGTAAGAGTAAGTTCTTACTTATCAATAATATTGATGTACATGGATCAAATTCTCCAATCAAAAGACATAGACTGGTTGGATAAATAAAAGCACAAGATCTATTGATTTGTTGCCCTCAAGAAACACACTTCACCTATAAAGACACACATAGACTGAAGATTAAAAAAAATAATTTAAAAAGATATTCCATGCTAATGGAAACAAAAAAAGAGATCAGGAATAGCTACACTTATATCAGACAAAGCAGATTTCCAGACAAAAATTATAAGAAGAGACAAGTCAGTTGATTACATAATAAAATGGTCAATTCAGCAAGAGGATATAATAATTTTAAATATATATGCTCCCAACAGTGGAAAGCCCTGATATATAAAGAAAATATTAGAGCTTAAAAGAAAGATAGACCCCAATACAATAATAGCTGAAGACTTCAACACCTCACTTTCAGCACTGCACACATTTCCAGATGGAAAATCGTCAAAGAAACATCAGACTTTATCTGCACTGTAGACCAAAATTGATCTAAAAGTTATTTACAGAGCATTTCATGCAACAGCTGCAGAATACACATTCTCCTCAGTACATGGAATATTCTCAAGAATAGGCCATATGTTAGGTCACGAAACAAGTCTTAAAACATTCAAAAAACTTGAAATAATATCGGCCATCTTCTCTTAACAAAATGGAATAAAACAGAAATTAACAAGAGGAATTTTGGAAACTATAAAAATACATGGAAATTAAACAACATGCCCCTGATTGTACAGTCGGTCAATGAAGAAATTAAGATGAAAATTTAAAAACTTCTTAAAACAAATGATAATAGAAACACAACATACCTAAACCTATAGGACACAGCAAAAGCAGAACTAAGAGGGCAGCTGATAGCTATTAAGTACCTACATAAAAAAAAAAAACCCTCAAATAAACAATCTAATGATGTATCTTCAAGAACTAGAAAAGCAACAACAAATGAAACCCTAGATTAGTAGAAGAAAAAAGTAATAAAGATCAAAGGGGAAAAAAGTAAATTTGAAATGAAGAAAACCATGGAAAAGATCAATGAAACAAAAAGTTGGTTTTTTGAAAAGTTAAATAAAATTGGAAAGCCTTTAGCCAGACTAAGAAAAAGAAAGAAGATACAAATAAATAAAATCAGAAATGAAAAAGGAGACATTACTACTAATACTGCAGAAATTCAAAAATCATCAGTGGCTAAACAAGAGCAGCTATATTCCAAAAATTGGGATGAAATGGACACATTCCTAGACACATTCAATATACCAAGATTGAACCAGGATGAAATCCAAAAACTAAATACACCAATCACAAGTAACAAGACCAAAGCCATAATAAAAAGTCTACCAGTAAAGAAAAGCTCAGGACCCAGTGGCTTCACTGCTGAATTCAACCAAACATTTGAAGAATAACTAATACCAATCCTACCCAAACTATTCTGAAAAATAGAAGAGAAGAGAATACTTCCAAAATCATTCTTTAAAGCCAGTATTAATCTGACATAAAAACCAAACAAAGATACATCGAAAAAATGAAAACTACAAGTCAATATCCCTGATGAATATTGATGCAAAAATCCAGAACAAAATACTTTCCAACTGAATTCAGCAATACATCAGAAAGATCATTCATCATGACCAAGTGGAATTTATCTCTGGGATGCAAGGATGACTCAACATATGTAAATAAATGTGATACATCATATAAACAGAATAAAAGAACAAAACCATATGATCACTTCAACTGATGCTGGAAAAATATTTGATAAAATTTAACATTGCTTCATCATAAAATCCCTTAAAAACTGGGTATAGAAGCTACATACCTCAATGTAATAAAAGCCATATATGAGAGACCTACAGCTTGTATCATACTGAATGGGGAAAAAAGAAAGCCTTTCCCCTAAGTTCCAGAGCATGACAAGGATGGTTACTTTCATCCTGGAAGTCAAACAAAAGGCATCCAAATTGAAAAGAAAGAAAGAAAATTATTCTTGTTTACAAAGAATATTATCTTACATTTGGAGAAACCTAAGGACTCCACAAGAAAACTATTGCAATTGATAAACCAATTCAGAAAATTGAAGGATTCCAAATTAACGTACCCAAATGAGTAACATTTTTATACACCAATAGTAAGCAATGTGAAAAACAAAAATTAAAAAGTTATTCTACTTAAAATAGCCACAAATAAAATTCTTAAGAATGAACCAAATAAGTGAATGCTTTCTACAATAAAAACTATAAAAAACTGATGAAAGAAATTGAGAGGACACAAGAAATGGAAAAATAACCCATGTTTATGAACATGTATAGAAAGAATCAGTATTGTTAAAATGTCCATACTACCCAAAGTAATCTGCAGATTTAATTCAATCCTTGTCAAAATACCAATGAGATTCTTCACAGAAATAGAAAAAAAATCCTAAAATTTGTATGGACCTTCAAAAGACCCAGAATACCCAAAGCTATACTAAGCAAAAAGAACAAAACTGGAGGAATCACATTACCTGGCTTCAAATTATAGTACAGAGCTATAGTAACCCAAACAACATAGTACTGGTATAAACACAGACACACAGACCAATGGGAACAGAATAGAGAACCCAGAAACAAATCCACATACTTACAGTGAACTGATTTGTGACAAAGGTACCAAAAACATACACTGGTGAAAAGAAAGTCTGTTCAATAAATGGTGCTGAGAAAACTGGATACCCATATGCAGAAGAATGACACTAGACCCCTATCTCTCACCATTTTCAAAAATCAAATCAAAATGGAATTCACAGAATGGGAGATAATATTTGCAAACTATCCGTCTAACAAGGGATTAATTACCAGAATATATAAGGATCTTAAACAATTCTACTTTTTTTTTTTTTTTTGAGATGGAGTCTCGCTGTCTCCCAGGCTGGAGTTCAGTGGTGCAATCTCGGCTCACTGCATGGGAGCTTAAACAATTCTATAGGAAAAAATGTTAATATCTGATCAAAAAATGAGCAAAAAATTTGAACAGACATTTCTCAAAAGAAGACAACAAGGGGCAAACAGGCATATGAAAAGGTGCTCAGCATCATTGATCATCAGGGAAATGCATATCAAAACTACAATGAAATATCATCTCATTCCAGTTAAAATGGCCTATGACCAAAAGACAAGCAATAACAAATGCTGGCAAAGATGTGGAGAAGAGAAGGAACCCTCCTACCCTATTGGTGGGAATGTAAATTAGTACAAACACTATGGAGAAGAGTTCAGAGCTTCAAAACTAAAAACAGAGCTATGCTAGTTCCAGCAAGCCTACCATTGGATATATACCCAAAAGAAAAGAAATCAAGTATTAATGTGATATATGCACCCCATGTTTGTTGTAGCACTGTTGTTTCACAACAGTTAAGATTTGGAAGCAACCTAAGTGCCCATCAGCAGATGAATGGATAAAGAAAACACAGTACATATACATAATGCAGTATTCTGTAGCCTTACTAAAAGAATGAGATCCTGTCATTTGTAACAACATGGATGGAACTGGAGATTAACATGTCAAGTGAACTAAGCCAGGCACAGAAAGACAATCATCACCTGTTCTCACTTATTTGTGGGTTCTAAAATTTAAAACAATTGAACTCATGGACATAGAGAGTAGAGAAATCAATACCAGAGGCTGGGAAGGGTAGTAGGGATGCTGGGAGGGAGATGGAAATGGTTAATGGGTACAAAAAATTTAGTCAGAATGAGTAACACACACTGTATTTGATTGTACAACAGGGTGACTATGGTCAATAACTTAATTGTACATTTAAAAATAAATGAGTAAATGAGTGTAACTGGATTGTTTGTAACACAATAATGTTTGATGGGATGGATACCCTATTTTCCATGATACGATTATTTCACATTGCATGCCTGTATCAAAACATCTCCTGTACCCCACAAATATATAAACCTACTATGTACATGCAAAATTTTGAAAAATTAAAAAATAATTTTGATTCACCAAGTTGACAGAATGACAAAATCCATATAATCATTTTAATATATATGGAAAAAATCACCATGTTCACATAATAAATAACAAAATCCATATAATCATTTTAATAGATATGCAAAAATCATTTGGGAAAATTTAACATCTTTTCATGATAAAAACTCTCAACACGTTAGGTACAGAAGGAATGTTCTTCAACACAAGAAAGGCTATTACAAGCCCACAGCTATCATATTAAATAATGAGAAGTTGACACTTTTTCTCTTAAGTTAGATACAACTCCAGGATGCCTACTCTCACGACTTTTGTTCAATATAGTACTTTGAAATACTACCCAGAGTAAGTAGACAAGAAAGAGAAATAGGAGGCATTCAAATAGAAAAGGAAGAAGTGAAATTATCTCTGTTTGCTTATGACATAAACCAATATATAGAAAAACCTAGAGACTCTATAAAGTTTAGAATTGATAATGAAATTCATAATAGTTACAGGATACAAAACCAACACCTAAAAGTGAGAAGCATTTCTATACACTAAAAAAAAACTATCTAAATGATTAAAGTAACAATCCTATTTATAATAGCATTAAAAGAAACAAATTACTTTAGATTAAATTTAACCCAGGAACGAAAAGATCTGTGTACTAAAAACTATGAAACTTTGATAAAAAATTGAAGATGACACAAGTGAAAAGATATCTTGTATTCATGGATTGAAATAATACTGTTATTATGTCTATACAACCCAAAGTTATTTACAGATTCAATTGAATCCCTATTAAAATTACAATGTCATTCTTCACAGGAATAGGAAAAAAAAAATTCTAAAATTTGTATGGCACCACAAAGGACCTTGAATAGCCAAAGCCATCTTAAGCAAAACAAGCAAACCTTTAGTAATTAAAACAACATGGCACTGGTATAAAAATGTACATAATCAACCTATGGACTAGAATAAAGTGCCCAGGAATAAACTCACATATTTGTGGCCAATGGATATTTGACAAAGGTGCCAGAACACAAAATGTGGAAAAGATAATGCAGAAGAAACAGTCTCTTCAATAAATGGTGCTAGGAAAAATTGGATATACACATGCTGAGGAATAAAATTTGATTTTTATCCTACCCAGTATAAAAGAACCAACTCAAAATAGATTAAAGACTTAAAATTTAAACCTGCAAATGTAAAACTACTAGAAGAAAACCTAAGGGAAAAGCTTCATGACATTAGTTAGACAGTGATTATCTTGGATAAGAGCCCAAATGCACAGGCAACAAAAGCAGATACTAACAAATGGGATTGCATTAAACTAAATAGCTTAAGCACAGCAAAAGAAACATTTCAGAGTGAAGAGACAAGCCATATATTGGGAGAATATATTTGCAAATCATACATTGGACAAAGGGCTAATATAAAAAAATCTAAGAAACTCAAACTACTCAATAACAAGAAAACAAATAACCATATTAAAAATGGGCAAAGGACTTGAATAGATATTTCTCAAAAGACGACATACAAAGGGCCAAAAGATATAGGAAAAAGTGCTCAACATCTTTAATCAGAAAAGTTAATTAAAAGCACAATAAGATATCACTTCATACCTGTTAAATTGGCTATTATAAAAAAGATGACAGATAAGTATTGATGAGTACTGTGGGAAGGTGAGCCCTTGCACACTGTTGGTATTTTAAATTAGTACATCCATTTTGGAAAGCTTTTATGTTTTTTCCTTAATAAACTGAAAATAAAATTATGATCCAGAAATCTCACTTCTGGGTTTAAGTCAAAGGAATTGAAATCAGTATCATTGAAGAGGTATCTGCACTCTCATGATCATAGCAGCATTATTCATAATAACCAAGATATGGAAACAACTGAAGTGACCACCAATGGACAAATGGATTTAAACTGATATATATGTACAATGGAATACTATTTAGTCTTAAGAAAGCTGGAAAGTCTGTCATTTGTGAAAACATGGAAGAACTTAGAGAACATTCTGCTAAGTGCAATAAACTAGGCACAGAAAAACAAACACCATAAGATCTCACTTATATGTGGAATCTAAAAAAGTCAAATTCTTAAAAGTAGAATATAAAATGGTGGTTACTGGAGGCTGAGGATGTGGGGAAAGGGGTCACTGGTCAAGGGGTACAAAGTTTTGGTTAGATAGAAGGAATACATTATGGTGGTTTATTGCAGAGTATGGTGACTGCAGTCAATAATTATGTATTGTATTCTTCAAAATAGCTAAAAGAGAGGAGTTTAAATATTCTCAGCACAAAGATGATAAATATTTGAGGTGATGGATATGTTAATTAACTTGATTTGACCATTTCATAGTGTATACATATACCGAAACACCATATTTTACCCCATAAATATATGTAATTTATCACTTAAAACTTTAAAATGATATATTTTTACAGTATTCTTTAAGTTAATATGCTGATTCATATTTGTGAATACAAAATATTTATTTCCCCATTTCAATTTTCAGTATTTTTGACATTTTGAATAATGCTATAGTGAACATCTTTGTATATTAAAATTATTGCCTAATTATGATAGTTTCCTTAGGATAAAATCCTAGAGCACAATAGCTTGATAAAATGATTCATATGTTATGCCTTCTGAAATATTTTGACATAATCAGTCACTGGCAGCAGGTATCCCAGTACTCTGCTGCTAATAACTCAAGAGATTTTTTTTAATTGAATGTGTAGGCTTTTGAGTAAAGAAAGATGATGAAATATATAGAAAAAAGTTCAGAGAAATGAGGTGGTCCAGGTGCTGGAGTAAGCACTTGTATACAAAGGGTTAAAATCGTGAAGTTGATCACTATCAACATTACAATAAGGAAGACAATAGGTAATAACAAGTGTAGATGAGTGTGGTCAAAACCATAGGTAGAGAATAAGATTTTAAAGGTAGGTTTTGGGATAGCCTTTGTCTGTTCATACAGAAACCAATGAATGCCTAAATAGACAATAGATTAAAACGCCCAATCAACAAATATGACATCCTATTTTCAACTACGACAATCAATATTAATATTAATGTAAAGGTGTTTCTAGTGTTTGTGCTATTTAGCCTATATATACCATCTAAACTGCTAATGACATCTTAGTGTTAGAAAAATTACAAAATATTTCCTGTTTTTTTTCAACACATTCTTCATTTAAGATATAACAATATGGAATTCCCACAATTTGTATTATTAAAGGGACATATCAAGAATTCTAAAAAGTTTCCTCTGCTTTCCAAAGCTCAAATCCACTTAAGCATGCTATTAATCAACGCCTTTTAACTGTTCATTTATTAAGCACCTGATAAGTGCAAAATACTGCCCTAATTATTATCTGACCTAGAATAAGGTAAATCATTTTTTCTGTTCTTGGAAGATTTTCATCTCTTTGGGAAGAAGAGCTGTAAGTACAGGAAGTAACAATGAAGGCTTAATAAATGTTCAAAGGAAAAGTAATGTAATGCATAATACTAATATTCCTAATAACAGACAAAAATGGGACTTGAATATAAAAGTGAGAAGGATAATTTAAGTTCCTGGAAAGATATTACAGAGAAGGTAGGATAGTAGAATTTGGATAGAGTTAAATGAAAGAGATGATATTATGTCAGGTGAAATGGCATAACTTAAAAAATAATAATAAATGTAAAGAAAATAAGTGTAAAAGAAAAAAGTCATGTTCCCCTCATGGAGAAGAAACAGTTTGGGTGAAGTGGATGGTAAATGTAGAAAATCAAAGTCAGATGACATTGAAAGACACAATACACACATAAAACATTTGTTAGAATACTACAAAAAGTGACTGCAACTTTTACAGTGTTTTTGTCCCATCGATATGCATGTTTTATTTTAACAGTGATCCACATGCTTTTGTAAAGAGTTGTAAAGACACGGGTTGATCCATTAATGAAGTTAATTGACACTAACTGATTGCTTTCACCTTAAACCAGAAGGTTCATAAAATGTTTAGCCATTTACTTCATTGCTGCATTGGAAGCACAGTTAATAGGAAGAAGCTGTATAAACAATGGAACCCAGAACAATTTAATGGGTTAACAATATTTTACAAACTCAGAAGTTGTGATTCCTAATCCTGCTCTTATAGTTAACAGAGCATGTGGTGTTTCTGCATTAGTTTCTCTGGTTATAAAATAGCTGTTTTCCTCAACTCTCAAGGGGATCCTACAAAATCAATTGAATAACGACAGATAAGTACTTTGAGCTTCTTGGAGAGAAAACTAAATCTTATAATTGCCTTCTTCCACCACCTTCATTTTATTTTATAGACTGAACTGGAGTAAATATAAGAGATGGATTAATCTTATCTCCTTTTATTTTTCTCTCAGTAAATTACACACAAAAAAAGGAATTGTCACAGAAATGTAGCACATAAAAATTTTGTTCTTGAATAATAAACACATGATATAACTAGTAATTAAATGAATTCTGTGACACATTAAAAAATGAAGCATAACTCTTTATAATCCAGCTCATAGCCAAAACATATCTGAAGTATGCTTTTATGTTATAATTCAGTTTTAGAATGATTTGTATACATTCTTTTCCTTTTCCAGAAGTGATAATGTACTTTCACTGATTTACCTATAGTTTTTTTGTTCAGATTCAACTTTTATTTATGGCAGAGATTTTTTAAAAAGTACTTAAATGTAAATGTATTATCCTTGGGCATTGAGCAGTTCTCCATGTAGCACTAACAAATTGATTGTATCTTTTAAGGTTATTTTCGGTACATGCAATAGGAAGCAATTGACTTTAGCCTACTTACACACCAAGGAGATTTATTTTAACATTATATGGTATTCAAAAGGCAAAGGAAGAATGAAGTAACAAAGTCTCTGTAAGGGCAGTTACCAAAACAGCTCTAGGGATAAGGAGTTCCTAAGTAGTTATAAACAAGGCATTGTTCATCAGGTTGCCTCATCTCCCATGAAATTCCTATCTGTATTCCTGAGAAGGGGCTGAACTGATTGACCCACCTCGAATCTAACCTATAACAGTTTGACTCTGTGCAGAAGGCAGGATTAGGTTCCCTGAGGCTGTATCTAAAGTAAGAAGATTTGTTGGGTGCCTAGAATCCACCACATTTGGTGACTACTGGAATTCTTATGATCAAAGACATTTTAGTTCTCTCTAAATAAACTCATCTCTAAGATACGTTAAAGGATAGTTTAATAAAAACAGCTTTAGCAAGAATAAGTGCCATTGGAAGTATAAAAGAGGACATCTCCTGAGAACTAGGGAAAATACATTTGTCATGATTCAAACCAATCTGTACAAGTCACTTTAAAAATTTAAATGATTGACTCTCTTAAAAGAAAGGTTTTGCAAGGTAGAATACTATAGAAAATAAAAGGCAAGAAATAGAAAGGAAAATAAAGCAAACAATGGTAAAAGAGCCAAATTCCAGCATGTCATTTGGAATCATCAGAAATCTAATCAGGAAACATACAAAGGGGCTTAGCTGTGAAGATAAAAATACTGAGAACAGATAATACATACCACCAAAAAAAGACATTTTAGCACAATTCAGTTAATATCATTTCATATCCATCATGGAAACTTTTTAGGGAAGTGGCCAAAGACAGGATTAATTTAATCGTTTTCTTAAAAAGGCAGAAGAAACACAAGTGATGAAGGAGTATTCCTGCATGCAAAGGAGATATGCAACTGAACGGAAATCCGTGGGTCTGAGGGTGGATCACAGTAGAGAACATTTGGTTGAGGATAAAATGAAAGAAAACCATAATTGATGCTGCTGTGGAAGTAGATGACAGCTCACTCAGTCTGGCAGATGCTTCCCTAATACAGATCGTGAAACTGTCACAAAAGCAAGATATAGCGGTAATGTGGGATTTCAAATATCTCTATATCTGCTGGAAGTCTAGTTTTGTAAAAAGCAACAAATCTGATAAATCCAGTAGTGGTTGATAATGTCTTCTCTTCAGTAAGGTTGTCCCCATATGTCTATCTCTTCTGAATAAAGAGATCTTCCAACACAAACCAGACCTTTGAACTCCACCCAACAACTCCAATCTCATGTAAACAAAACCCCTTAACATGTTACAGAATGCTTCCTCCTCTACTGCTATTTATTAACACCTGGTTCTTTCCTAAGAAGATGGCTTCACTTTCAGTTCCTTAAGAGGAATTTTCTTAATTTTCCAAATCCTATGCAATGCAGGATGTGGATATACTTTGACAGTTTCTTACTTCATTGATGTTCTATCTAACATCAAGGTTGTTGAACAGAGGGTAAAAATGCAAAGTTTTCAGATTGTTGTAATTAAATACTGACTTTGTAATGTCACCTGGTCTCTAAACATGACCTGAACTTCCTTCTATGTGATCCTAACTTATCCCCCTTTCCCACTCACTGTAGCAGCTATGTTAAACTTTCATTTATGGTAAAGCCAAAATATATCATCCTCCTCTACTACAAAGGGAAGATAGAGACCCTCAAGTGAGAAGTTCTTAATCTTTCATGTCCCTGTGTCAGACAGGATACTTTTGGCTGGAAGTGGCAGAACCCCTTACCAAAAGTGGATTTAATGAGTAAGGATTTTTAAAAGTCATATGTAAGGTAAAGTTCCATAGTAGGTGATCCCAGAGTCAGTTCCGTTGTATAATATTGTCATTAGAGGCCCAACCACTTTTCCACCTGTGACAGATTCAAGAGCGTCCCCTCATGACCCCTAACTTCTAGTATTCATGACTTTGTCTAATCCCTTTTCCTGATGGGTGGGGCAGACATGTGACTTTCTTCTAACCAGTAGAATGTGGAAAAGGTGACAAGATATCGCTCTCATGGTTTTGTTATATAATCTTGCTAACAGACTTTCTTTAAAGACTCTCCTTGCTATCTTTAAAAAAGTAAGCAGCTATGCTTTGGAAACTCCTATGGCAAAAAGCTGAGGGCAGCCTCCAGGTAATGAGGAACAACACAAGCCAATAGGCAGCTAGAAACTCATGTGTTCAATCTTACAACCACAAGGAAATGCATTCTACCTACAACGTGAGTAAGGTTGGAAGCAAACTCTTCCCCAGAGCCTACAGATAAAGATTTCAGCCCTCATGAGACCCTAAGAAGAGGCCCCTGTGAAGCTGTGCCTAGATTCCTGATCCACAGAAACTGTGAGATAATAAATACATGTTGTTGTTAGACACTAAGTTTATGGTAACTTATCACCTAAGAGCCATTCTTGATCCTACCTGTCCTTGACATGCACAATTATCTGTCAATAATTCCTATTGGTTTACCTTCAAAGTGTAGCTATGATCTTTACCATAATCACTTTCAACGAAGCTAAGATAATGAAATAGCATTCTAATTATTCTCCTCATGTCAAGTCTCTCATGCAGATGGTGTAATCTTCAACCAACAGACAGAATGATCTTTAAAAAAAACAGAGTTAGATGATGCCATACACCCATGCACCACTTGTGCAAAATTTTTTAAAAATTTTCTATTCCCCTTAGAACAAAATTTAAATGTTTTGCCATGTCCTGCAAAAGCCTCAAGATCAGGTCGCTGGCTACCTCCTTAACCTCATGCATGTCCACTTTCCCTAAACTCATTCCTCACTGGCTTTCTTATCAAGATTGTTGTTCTGTTACAGGCTTTGACTTGATGCTTTGTTTTCATGGCACATTCTCTCTTCAATTATTCAAAAGTAATTATTAAATGTCCACCTTGTGCCATGTACTAGCCAGATGGTAGAAATTTAGCAGTAAACAAAACATTTTTTAAAAGGCACTCAATGTTGCCCTATATGAACTATTTGAATTATCAGATTGGATACAACTGGAAATAAATTTGAAAAATCTCCTGTTAAGAAAATCCAACATGCATAACCTGAACAGTCATTCATTTCACCCACTCTGCATCAAATCCAGGTAAATTCTATGCTTATGGATATCCATAATGATTTGGCCAAAGGTCAATTAGTGGGGAAAGCAAATAGAGACTATTAGATGAATTTTTTAAATTTATTCAATATATATTAATAGTTTATTCTTTCTTATGAAATTTCTGAGAACACTCAACACTGGCTTATTTCTCCTCCTTGCTCCTCCCATTGTAATTGATCAATTCCTGTTCATTTCTACTTGAAAGATAGCTTCCATAAGTTTCCTACTCTCTGGATGCAGGTCTTGCCATAGTGTAGGCCCTATCCTCAGGACATTTTTCCTACTTCTTTTCCATTATCATTCAAAGTACAAATAGAATTGTATGTTTTGGTAGAAGGGTACTAGACAAACTTTCTGATTTAGTTATTTTGGTCTCTGTTCTTCTTAGATACTTTATCACTGTCTTCATAAGGCACCTAAAATGTTGCATATGATTAACATACTTTTCTCCTCTACCAGATTGTTTGCAAGACCAGGTCTATATCATATTAATATTTTTTCTCCATAATCTAGAAGAGTGACATAATAGCCATCATGAGTATCTTAGAGGTATTAATGAATTAATTTTACTCTATCAGAAAAAAGTTGAACCCCTGCATTCTACTGATTTTTATCACTAGCACCATCTTCATTTTAAAAAGACATAATAACTGGTATTATTGGCAATATGATGCTAATTACACCTTTCTTTTTCTTATAAATTACTGACAGTTTAAATAACTAATTTTTAATGGAGACACTATTATCGCCAGTCAGTGTGGGTGGAAAAATTGGATCAGATAGTTTGAGAAATTTGACCTTTCAAAGAATGAACGAGACAGAAAATGTTTGTGATAAGCTAAGTACATATGACCTATACGAGTTTTCTTCTCTGCATTCCTGCCTGATTTCTTTACTTACTTATATTTCAAGGGCTTGTGGCTTTTTAATGAATTGGTACATCTCCCACTATTTTATAATTTACTGATTACTTGTGTTTGCTAATATAATAAACACACATTGAAATATATATATATTTAATTTTGTTCTTGTTTTTTCAATTTCTGTGGGTACATAGGTGTATACAGTTATGGGGTACATGAAATTTTTTGATACAGGCATGCAATGTGAAATAAGCACATATTGAAGAATGGTGTATCCATCCCCTTAATCATTTATCCATTGAGTTGCAAACAATCCAATTACATTCTTTAAGCTGTTTTAAAATATATAGTTATTATTGACTATAGTCACCCCATTGCACTATCAAAGAGTAGATCTTATTCATTCTTTCTATTTTCTTTTGTACCCATTAACCATTCCCTCCTCCCATACAACCCATTCTCTGGGAAGGGCTTTCTACTTTCTGTGACAATGAGTTCAATTGTTTTGATTTTTAGATCCCACAAATAAGTGAGGACATATGATGTTAGTCTTTCTGTGCCTGGCTTAAGTGGGTTTAAGTGTTTAAACCCCACCTTCCCACTCCTAATCCTAGCCATCCACTTATGGTTACTTCTTCCTATAATCTGTTCTGTCACACTATCCTATGGTACTACAAAAGGTCATTTCTAGATGAACACATGAGTTTGGAAGATTCAAAATAAATAGTCCAAAAGAAACAGCTCATTTTTTTTCTCTAAATTTAAATTCCCAAATACCAGGTTTTGCTTATACTGCCTCCTTCCCTTAGTTATTCCTTTCTTCTTTATTATCTTCTCCCTTCTCATCTCCCTTTCCCATTATGCCATTAAAGGCACATACAAGTTAAAATGAAGTCAGGGAAAAACAACAACAACATATGTCTATATTAATTTATTGTAGAGCCTGTCAGTGTTACTCATATTACAATAGATGTTTATACAGGTTAATTCTTTAAACTGACTGGAATTCATTATGCTTATTGCGGTTGTGATCCTAAAAAAATTCAAGTGATGATTCATTTCATCATGAGCCATTCTTTTCTCTTTAAATTTAATACTCTTTAAACAGAGTTAAGCAAAGAAAGGCAGCTTGACATTATTTGTAGAGTCATTTACTTATTTCCATTAATTTTTTTCTGAGTATATTTGGAAACTAGAATTGAGAAATATTGTAATTCAAGCACAAAATACTATCTCCTCAGGAGGAATATTATATCTTGAAAGGAATATTCTATTCATTATGTTGGGCTTTATGCATGAAATATATGACCAGAAATGGCATATCTGTTACTCATTTCATTAAAAGTTTTCAACAAATATTTACAGAAATCTTAATATGTGCTAATAGCTTTGGACCTGATTGGTCCATTGTAAAATATTACAGTATAATTCTATATCCTGACTATTTAATCTTTGTTCTTACTTTGTGTTGCCCTTGCCCTTGTCCTTGATAATTTTCTTCAGGAGATCCACTATGAAGGCCACTTTCTTTATGCCTGCATCCATGCTGGATAAAGAGCTATAGCCAAGCAGACCTGGCCTCCTTAATATTTATACAAACCAGCTGTAAGCTGGCCCTGACCACTGTTCAGCATGCCTGATATTTCTCCCTCATTGACTCCTTGGCTTATTGCTCTCAAAAATATTCCAAATCTCTTCAGCCTATAAACTTCCAATTTTTCCTCCTTAATCTCAGTTACAGCAGATCACTTATTTTATTGTGTATACTGGAACAATCCAGGACTCCTTTTGTTATTTCAGCAGCCCTCATATTTTTCTTCTATCCTTTCATACAGTCTTAGGAGTAGATTCTATTCTCCTCTTGTCCAAAACCCAGAGCTGTATTTTTAAGATTTTCTGGCATCCCAAGGAAACCTGGATATATATTAATGCCTTTGAGTTTAAGCATCTTAAATGTCACTCTACTTTTTTTATCTGCATATTTATTCAAATAACAAATGCTTACTAGGGTCTACTACAATAGACACTGGTCTATAAAGAAGAAAAATTATGCCTCCTGGCATTAAAGAGTTCATAAACAGATATTTAGGTAATCATATTATAATGTGGTGAGTGAAATACAAATATCAACAAATATTTTATTGAACTCTGACTATACTAAGGCATTATATTAAACTCATTATTTAATACAAACATAACAAAATAAAAATTTGTACAGGAAGCTCTATGCTTACATTATTTTTACCAACTATGAAACCGAGGTTTTGAGAGGTTAAATAACTGTTGAAAGTATATTTAACTAAAGAGTGTCAGAGCTGATATTTAAACTCATGAGTTTCTCTGATTTCAGGGCTCATATACTTAAATCATAAAATTATGTATACAATGATAGGGCCCTGCATAAAGTTCCATGGGAGAACAGAAACTTATAATCCAGATGGGAATATTGCAGAAGTTTCCATGGAACAGTTACACCTATGTTGTCTTGTTAAATTTTTGTTGGATTTAGGTGTAAAGGTATATAGGTCTTCCCTTGAAAGATCTTCCCCAGCAGTGCATGTGGAAGACACTGTATAAAGCAAGGTGACAATCAGTAGCATTAATAGAGCAAAGGTGCTCTCCTATTAGAAGAACATAAAATAGAAAGATAGAAGTGGTGGAAAATTTATGTGGAGAAGGAGACGGGGCCCTTGTCCTTGAGGGCCTTATGTGGCACAATGAGGAGTTTATATTTTATGTAAAAAGCAGTTGGAAGCCAGTACAATTTTAGTAAAAGAACTTACAAGGTCGTATTTGTAGTATTTATTAATCATTCTATCTAGAATTGGAGGGATAAAGAAGAAAATCAGAGAAGCAGAAACAGAAGTTAGAAAATTGTTCCAGTAACCCAGGTGAGAGGTGATTAATGAGGGCTATACAGAGCAATGGCACTGGCATCAAGAAGACCTGGGCTGTCATTCTGGCTCTGCCACCTACAAACTGTGTGGCTTGGGGCTAGTTTTAAACATTTACAATTTCCAAGTTTCTGAAATGGTAAATGAGGTTAGTATCTCCCTCACATATTTATTGAAAGGAACATACGTGAAAATCCATGTAAACTGCTTAACATATTGTTTGGCACATTTTACACATTCAATAATTTAGTGATCTTATTTCTAGTGTTATATTTACTTATACAATCAATACAATAGCTCTTCTGAGGAGGAGGGCATGGAGTATGAGCTGAAGTTTTCATCTTAGAAGCCAAAGTAGTGGCTCATACCTGTAATCTCAGCACTTTGGGAGGCTGAGGTGGGTGGATCATGAGGTCAAGAGTTCAAGATCAGCTTGGCCAAGATGGTGAAACCCCATCTCTACTAAAAATACAAAAATTAGCCGGGTGTGGTGGCGCACACCTGTGATCCCATCTACTCAGGAGGGTGAGGGAGAGAATTGCTTGAAGCTGGGAGGCGGAGGTTGCAGTGAGCCAAGATCATGCCACGGCACTCCAGCCTGGGCGACAGAGTGAGACTATGTCTCAAAAAATAAAGAAAAATTAAAATAAATTAAAAAAAAGTTAAAGTGAACAAGTCAGTTGATGGAGCATGTCTAGTACACTGGGCTGCAGAGATTTCCAGACACAAAGTATATGTAACAGGTGGTATTCTTAGTGCACAAACCTAAAATATATTTTATACTGAAATTACATCAAAGCCTTTCCCAATGTAAGAATTTCAACTTCGGGTACCATTAGGGCTCCCTCTCTCTGCAGGGTTCCATATGTCACAAAAAATTCTAAAAGAAGAACCATACTCTTAATCTATAGGTAAGCCATCATTTCCTTGAATTCTTCTGCTACCAAATACACAACAAGAGATGATCTTCATAAAGTTTCCAAGAACATACACCGGGGAAAGGACACTCTCTTACATGGTGCTGGGAAAACTGGATACCCACATGGAAAAGAACGAAACTGGACCCCATCTCTCACCATATACAAAATCAACTCAGCATGAATTAAAGACTTAAATGTAAGACCTGTAAAACTGTAAAACTACTAGAAGAAAATATGGAGGAAACACTTCAGGACATTGGTCTAGGCAAAGATTTCACAGATTAGACCTCAAAAGCACAGGGAAGAAAAACAAAAATAGACAAATTGGACATATTAAACTGAAAAGCTGCTGCTCAGCAAAGGAAACAATCAACAGAATGAGGAGACAACCTGCTCAATGAGAGAAAATATTTGCAAACTATTCACTTGACAGGGGACTAATATCCAGAATATACGAGGAAATCAAACAGCAAAAAAACAAATAATCCCATTTAAAAATGAACAAATGATCTGTATAGTCACATCTCAAAAGACATACAAATGGCCAACAGGTATGGGAAAAATAATGCTCAAAATCACTAATCAGAGAAATACAAATTGAAACCATAATGAAATATTTTAGTAATAGTCCAGTTAGAATGGCTATTTTTGAAAATCAAAAAATTTAGCAAATACTGGCAAGGATTTAGAGAACTCATAAGGTATCAGTGGGTTTGTAAATTAATACAGCCGGTATGGAAAACAGTATGGCGATTTCTCAAAAAAAATAAAAATAGAACTACCACATGATCCAGCAACTCCACTACTGGTATTAATCCAAAGGAAAATAAATTAGTATATCAAAAAGATACCTGCACTCACATGTTTATTGCAACATTATTCACAATAGCTAAGCTATGGAATCAACCTAGTGTCCATTAATGGACAATTGGACTTAAAAATGTGGTCTATTAATTTATACAAAGGACTACTATTTGGCCATAAACAAGGATAAAATCATGTAATTTGTAGCAACATGGATGGAAGTGGAGGTCATTATGTTAAGTGAAAATAAGCCAGACACAGAAAGACAAATATCACATGTTCTCACTCAAAAGATAACGAAGTTCATCTCATGAAGACAGAAAGTAAAATAATAGATACCAAATTCTGAGAAGTGTATGCGGGTGGGGGTAGGGGGGGTGAAGAGAGGTTGGTTAATGGGTATAAACATACAGTTAGAATGAATAAGTTCTAATATTTGATAACAGAGTATGGCGACTATAGTTAACAACAATGTATTGTGTATTTCAAAATAGCTAGAAGTGAGGAATTAAAATGTTTCCGACACAAAGAAATAATAAATACTTGAGGTGATGGATATCCCAAATACCCTTACCTGACAATCACATATTCTATGCACATAACAGAATATCATATATCCCCCATAAGTATGTATAAAATTATGTATCAATTTTTAAAAAGAGCTCGTCTTCAAATGCTGTTGAGGGCACTACCCAAGGATTTTTATTAGTCAGATTATGCTGTGGTAGCAACAAACCCCAGAAACTCTTTTTTTTTTCCTCATTCTACATGTTCATTTCAGGCCAATTGGAGGGCTTTGATCTGCATGGTGAACACTGTAGGACCCAGGCTGCTGGAATGTTTCCAGGCACCACAGCAGAGGGAAACAAAAAGCATATTGAGTCTCTCACCAAATCTGAAAGCTTCCATGAGAAAGTGACATGCACTTCCTTTCATATTATACGTTGCCCAAACCAAGTCATGCGGGCACAAGAAAGGGAGCAAAATAAAATCCTACCCTGTACTCAGGAAGAAAACCAACTGCATTTGGCATATAGCACTAATGATTACCAAAGAAGCCAATCATACTCTACTACCCACAAACTTTCCCACAGTAACCTTTTAATCTGTTTTTTAGTTTGAAAAGTGTAGTGTACAGTCTGTACCACAGCATGCTTCAATATGCAGCATTATTTGCTGATGAGGGCTTTGTCTCCACCATGCACAGAGAACATCCCAAGACCAATACCCTGAGGAATCTCAACGTTCTTGGATTGATCTGCTTTTTCTTCTCTCAGCTAAAGATTTCTTCATACCACCACAGACTAGGTAAGGATAATTTCTAGTTGTTTGAAAATTCTACTTTCAGCCCATTAGAGTTTTTTTTTTTTTTTTTTTTTTTTTAGCTCAAGAAGTCTTTAACTATCATCTATTTCTACCCTACCCAATTCCCTAGATAAAGAGCTCTGACATGAGAACTAAGACAAATCCCATGAGATGGCAGAAGATCAAATGTATACACACACACACACACACACACACACACACACACACACAGCTTTTGATTTTCTCTTTCAATCTTGCTATCCAGAGATCTTATGGGTAAAGCAAATAAATTAATCATGCATATGAAATAATGAGTTGATTTTTTTCCCAGTTTTACTAAAGTAGTTAGTAGTCTCAGATCCTCACGTTTCCCTAGAGCGGTACATACTGATGTTTGAGAAGATGCACTAAGCATCGGTCCCACTAAATGCTGGACATTTATGAGGCCTTAAAAATGCTTTATCACATTTTTCAACTGACCGTGTGTATAAGCCCAGTTATTTTGAGGATAAACAAATTAGTAAAATAAAAAATTATTATTTTTGTACATGGCTAGTCTGAAAATGAAAAGTGAAACTTAGCTAATAATTTTATTTTATTTTGTTGTTGTTGTTGAGATGGAATCTTGTTCTGTCACCCAGGCTGGAGTGCAGTGGCATGATCTCGACTCACTGCAAGCTCCGCCTCCCGGGTTCACGCCATTCTCCTGCCTCAGCCTCCAGAGTAGCTGGGACTACAGGCGCCCGCCACCACGCCCGGCTAATTTTTTTGTATTTTTAGTAGAGACGGGGTTTCACCATGTTAGCCAGGATGGTCTCCATCTCCTGACCTCGTGATCCGCCCGTCTCGGCCTCCCAAAGTGCTGGGACGACAGGCGTTAGCCACAACACCCGGCCTTCTCTAATAATTTTTATTGAGAAAAGTTAATAGCAATAAGCAGCCCATGAGTGAATGGCTACTAATAGTTTAGCTCACTTTGTGTAAGCTTTCCATATTAAAACATAAGTAATTAATATAAAAGAGAATTTCCTGCCTTTTGACACTGACGGAATTTTTTTTAAGTTCCTTTACTTATGTGCTACTTGGCTCCATAGGCCCATTGTTTGAGCTGAAATAACCTGGCTGAATTATGGGGGAAATAATTTTGGTAAAAGACTAGTAGAAATATAAGACTACTGTGTCTTATATCAGACCCTCTTCCACACCAAAATGCATTAAGCTTTCAATATAGGTAAAACAGCAGGCACACCAAAACCGCTGGTTAAATAAGTAATCTATTCATGGAGAACTGGTCTTGGTTTATTTAGCTCTGGGCTTAAATCCTTAATTATGAACCTTAATTATGAACAGTGAGACCTATATGATCTCACTGACTGCAACAGAATTATCACTTCCTAAATGGCACAATAGGTAACTATAATGGGTATTTCCTTGACAAAAATATTTAAGTGTTAGCAGCCATAAAAAGGAATGAGATCGTGTCCTTTGCAGGGACATGGATGAAGCTGGAAACCATCATCCTCAGCAAACTAACACAGGAGCAGAAAACCAACCACTGCATCTTCTCACTCATAAGGGGGAGTTGAACACTGAGAACGCATGGACACAGAGAGGAACAACACACAACAGGACCTGTTGGGTGTTGGGGGGGTGAGAGGAGGGAACTTAGAGGATGGGTCAATAGGTGCAGCAAACCACCATGGCACACGTATACCTACGTAGCAAACCTGCACATTCTGCACATGCATCCCATGAATATTTATTTCAGTGCTAGCAAATAGCCTATCCGGTCATTGGCCCATCTAGATAAGCTATAGTCGGTCAACCCAAACTTTGTTATTGCCTCTTTCCGTGCAATACAGATAAGAAATAATACCTGCCCCCATCCCCTGACACACATACACGCACACTTATGCATATGCTTATGCAGTAAACCTTTTGGTATTGCATAAATATTTTTATTTATAATTACAAAGCTGTGATACACTACCATATTCAGTGGGATTTTAGAATTTCCCTGCAAACAACACAAGTTGTCAAGTACTTAACATACATTACTAACACATGCAAACTTAAGTGACTTAAACGGGCATTTAAGAAAGTTTCACCTCATCTGCGTATGGCAACGCTGATGAATTACTTCAGAACAGATGTTAACGTTTAGCACATTTACTTCCTTAATGTTCATTTGAAAAGAAATATCTTATGCTGTAAATTATAAGACTGACAGACTGGAGAGTGGAAAAATATCTATATTTTTCCTATCAATTAAACACCTTTGATTTTGGAGTCAATGTCTTTAGTAAAATGTTTGAGAGCCATTAAACATTGTTCATGTCTCTTTAATTACTCTAAACTAAGCATTTACAACTCCACAGGGAGAAATCATGTTTCCAGTGTCAGTGGTTACACAGTTCCCAATGTTAATTCACTAACTCTTTAAAAATATTTCTTTCAGTAAATATCTGTTCTAAAAGAAAGCATAGGTAGTGTATCAGTCTGTTCTCACATTGCCATAAAGATACTACCTGAGACTGGGTAATTTATAAAAGAAAGAGGTTTAATTGACTCACAGTTCCACATAGCTGGGAGGCCTCAGAACTTACAATCACGAGAGAAGGTGAAGGGCGAAGCAAGGCCTTTTCTTTGCATGGTGGCAGGAAAGAGAAGCGTAAACAAAGGAGGAACTTGCCAGACACTTATAAAACCATCAGATCTCGTGAGAACTCACTCACTATCACGAGAACAGCATGGGGGAAACCTCCCCCATGATCCAATAATCTCTCACCAGGTTCCTCCCTCAATGCCTGGGGATTACAATTCAAGATGAGATTCAGGTGGGGACAGAAAGCCTAACCATATTAAATAGGGACTACTCAAGTCACACATGAAATAGAGCAATGCCTCTCAAATTTCAGCATGCATTAGATTCACCTGATGGACAGGTTCAAACACAGACTCTGGGCCCACCCTCAGAGTTTCTGATTCAGTACTGTGGGGTGAGGCCCAAGAATCTGCATTTCTGACAAGTCCCCAGATGTTGATGTTGAAGTAGCTGCTCTGGGAGCTGAACTTTAGGAATTAATGGTATTGAGTATGTAAACACACCCAATTGTTTTTCTAGGTTAAAAAGTGTTCAATATTTGAAAAAGTTTGGGGAAATCCTGCAGAGTAAATTGTAATCTTGGAGATTTACAACAAAGGTTCTAAGAAGTACTAAAGTTAAAAAAATCGTTTGATTTTTCTTTAACTCAGTATTTCTCCAAATCATTTGATCAAAAATCCTATTTATCATAAATAATTAATTAACGTATACTTGGACATTTGTAGAAACAGAGTTAGGAAAATTTCTCTCTTAAGATTCTTATGTAAACCTTGTAACATGGGACTGCTGGTTTCTGGTTCCACATGTAAGAAGCTTGGAAGTTGCCACTGTGTCCTAACAACAGGTAAAAAGATAAACAGACTGAAAAATCAACAACTTTTCCTAGATCTGAAAGAGAATGGAGGACACGGACAAACTGCTACACCCAAAATTGGAAAGACAGACGGGAAATACTGGGAGTTATTGTTTACCAGAGCAAAGACTCGTGGCCTGAAACTACCACAGATAGGTAAACTTGAACTGTAATGATAAATTCCTGAAGGTTCAGTGTAGACAACTGTGAGAAGTAAAAACTCAAGAGTCCCAAGAATAGCAGGTGGCCCCCAATATTTTGAGATTTAGCTCCACAGCTCAACTATATTCTCACACTAAAGACTGGAGAAAAGTCTCCTCATCCTTCTAGCAGGAGACCAAGAAAAGAAAATATTTTGAAATATGCTACAGTAGTCTGTTCTTTTTAACAAGGTATGCCCCCAGTAGAAACGAGTTAACCAGATCCTAACCTTCTGCGGTGTTTCTTATCAGAGCCCAACTGACCTGGGAGATAGAAATATCCAACTCGGCTGGGCGCCGTGGCTCACGCCTATAATCCCATCACTTTGAGAGGCAGAGGCGCGCGGATCACGAGGTCAGGAGATGGAGACCATCCTGGCTAACACGGTGAAACCCTGTCCCTACTAAAAATACAAAAACAAAATTAGCCAGGCGTGGTGGCGGGTGCCTGTAGTCCTAGCTGCTCAGAAGGCTGAGGCAGGAGAATGGCATGAACCTGGGAGGCGGAGCTTGCAGTGAGTCGAAATCATGCCACTGCACTCCAGCCTGGGCGCGACAGAGTGAGACTCCGTCTCAAAAAAAAAAAAAAAAAAAAAAAAATTCCAACTCTAGTGAGCTCTAGCTTTCTAAGTAAGAGAAGGGAAATACCCAATTTCAGCTCATTATAGCTATCCCGTTCCACCTAAGGCAGGAAAAAACTGAGAAACACTTGTGAAATTCACAGTCCAGGACATGGGCTTACTAAAAGACTGAGATCAAATCATAGGACTATAGAACACTTATAGGACTATAGAAACCCTCACTCCACACATTACTAAAGGTCTATTTACAGCACTTTTATTTACCTGATATATTCTGTCCAGCTATAAAAACAACTTTTTTTTTTCAAGATGGCACAGACTTTTAGCATAGCTCAGCTACTTGGAAATGGCAAGATAGTGCATAAACTCTGAGTTTTTTTGAAGAAGAAAAATGGGAATCCACTGAAATCGTGAAGGATATCTCGGAGTATCTTAGGGAGTAGAGCATGGGCAAACAGCCCTCGTGATGTAGTCCAGCTGATAAAAGTGAGTGAAACCCCAGTATGTGAGAGAGGCAGAGAACTTCCCTCTGTGACTCATCTTTTCATTGGGCATCTGAACAACCCAGGCTGAGGGAGAGCACTTTGTTTCTCTCAAGCCCTAGAGCTAACTTGAGGAGAGACTTAGAGATGCTGTGAAGAAAGATAATGGAAAAAGCTGCAGTCATTTTCCCAGACCCAGAACCGAGAGTTGCACACGATTTTAAATCTGGAAGAACATAACGTAAGCCATTCCTTGGTGAGCTGGCAGTGTGCCTACACAGGCATTTTAGTTTTCAGGCCAGAAATTGGAGTGCCTGCTCTAGAGCTGGATATGGACCCCCACAGCCAGAACTCTGGAAAGTGCCCCAGCAGTAGGAAGTGGAATTGTGTTCTGTCTCATCACAGGCCTGGAGCAGGAGGAGAGCTGCTACAGCTGCAGTTTCTCCTGAATTATGAGACTTGCAGCCCAGGACAAACTTGGCAATGTGGAACTGGTCTGTATGTGTCATTGCTGGATGCCCCAGCCTGTTCCCCTGAGATTGTGGTGCAGTGGGGCCCTCTCCACTCCATCCACAGGCATAGATCCAGGCATTTAGGGTACTCACTTACCTGGACCAACAGCCTGGGCTGCCCTACCCTTGCTGGACATTGAGCATGGTGCAGGAGGGCCCTTTGCTTCATGCCTAGGCAGATCTCAAAGCACCTAGTAGCCCAGATTTGTAACCTTGGCTACCATTCCTGTGCATAGATATGGGTGAAGGGGGGCCCTCCCTGCTTCATGCCCAGGCAGATGTCCAGCCATTCAGAGCACCTGTTTGCCTAGATCAACAGCCAGAGTCCATGCCCAGGCATATCTCCAGGCATTAGGGGCACCCACTTGCTTGGAACAGCAGCCTGAACCTTCCCACCATTGCTGTGGAGAGACCCTGGCACGGGGAGCCCTCCTCAACTCCATGCTAAGCCAAGGCAGATATCCAGGCATCTGGAGCACCCACTCTCCTGGATTAGGAGCTTAGGCTGCCCTCCATCCCTGCGCAGAGAACTTGGCAGTGAGGAGCTTTCCCCACTCCATTCCTAGGCAAACCTCTGGGTACTTGGAAGCCATCCTCTGGATTTTCTCTTTGTGCTGGTACTTGTGCCTGCCATTAGAGACCTTGTAGCTAAACCTGCCTGGTCCAGCCCTGCCCATCTTGCCCCTGACCCCCCAGGACTAAGAACACAGCTCAGACTACTTACTGTGCACTCCATGAATCAGACTATTGCCTGAGGAAACAGAGAGGTTATCCCAGTAAATAAGAATTAAGTATATATTCAGCCACATTGGCCACAACTGCCTCTTAACCATAAGTCACATCTACTGGCTTGTAGGTTGAATTGCACAGCCCAGTATAAAACCTGGTGACAAAGGTGAATAAGGATATAGAAGCAAAACCAAAAGACCTTACTGAGCATTCTCTACAGTCAGACCCCTTAGAGGGGAGAAGGAAAAGGGAAAGAAGAAAAAAAAATAAAGATAAGAAAGAAAAAGAAAAAATCCCACCTGCCCAAAAATAATTTTACAAAATGAGAAATGCCAACATTTCTGGATGAGAAGGAACCAACATAAGTATTCAGGCACCATGAAAATAATATGAATGTCATGACACCACAAAGGATCCCATTATTTCTACAGCAGTGATCCCTATCCAAAATGGACTGAGACATGACAGATAAACAGTTCAAAGCATGAATTGCAGAGAAGCTCGATGAGATCCAAGACAAGGTTGAAAATAAAAAAAAGAGACATCTAAAGCAATCCAGGAAATAAAGAAAGATAAATATCTTAAAAGGATGTTAGAGCACAGCTTCTGGAATTTAAAATAACAAACTCACTTAAGGAATTTCAAAATATGATTGAAAGTTTTATCAATAGATTGGACCAAGCAGAAGAAAGAATCTCAAGCTTGAACATCAGTTTTCAAACTAACCGAGACAGACAAAATTAAGAAAAGAGAATATAGGGCTGGGCGCGGTGGGTCATGCCTGTAATCCCAGCACTTTGGGAGGCTGAGGCCAGTGGATCACAAGGTCAGGAGATCAAGACCATCCTGGCTAACATGGTAAAACCTCGTCTCTACTAAAAATACGAAAAATTATCCAGGCGTGGTGGCGGGTGCCTGTAGTCCCAGCTACTCTGGAGACTGAGGCAGGAGAATGGCGTGAACCCTGGAGGCGGAGCTTGCAGTGAGCCGAGATTGTGCCACTGCACTCCAGCCTGGGTGACAAAGCGAGACTCTGTCTCAGGAAAAAAAAAAGAGTATATAAAATGAACAAAGTCTTCAAGAAATATGGAATTATAAATTATTGCCATTCCTGAGAGAGACAGAGAAAAAGAAATGACCTGGAAAAAAAACTGAGGGAATAATTCAAGAAAATGTTCTTAATTTTGCTAAAGAGGTAGACATCAAGATACAAGTAATCCAGAGAACACCTGTGAGATACTATACAAAATGCACATCACTAAGGCATACAGTCACCAGACCACACAAGGTCAATGCTAAAGCAAAAATCTTAAAAGCAGCTAGAGAAAAATATAAGATCATATACAAAGGGAACTTCATCAGGCTAACAGCAGATTTCTGAGCAGAGACCTTAGAAGCCAGGAGAGATTTGGGGACTATTTTCAGCATTCTTAAACAAAAAATGAGATTCCAACCAAGAATTTTATATCCTGCCAAACTAAGCTTTATAAGTGAAAGAGAAATAAAAGCTTTTCCAGACACTAATGAAATTCCTTACTACTAAACCAGTCTTACAAAAGATTCTTAAGGGAGTTCTAAACATGGAAATGAAAGAATGATACCTACTATCACAAAAACACACTCTACTTAGAAGGCATAGGGTGGCAAGATAGATTGAAAAAAAGATCCATTCATCTGCATCTGCTGTCTTCAAGAGACCAATCTCACACATAATAACAGCCATAGTCTCAAAGTAAAGAGTTGAAAAAAGATTTATCATGTAAATGGGAAATAAAAAAGGAGCAGGGATCACTATGCTTATATCAGATAAAACAGAATTTAAACAAACAAAAGTAAAAAAAGGACATAGAAGGACATTAAATAATAATACACATTTCAATTCAAGAAGAAGACATAATTATCTTCAATATATATGCACCAAGCAATGGAGCATCTAGATTCACAAAACAAGTACTTCTAGACCTATAAAAAGACTTAGGCAGCCACACAATCATAGTAAGGGACTTCAATATCCATTGACAGCTTTAGACAGATCTTTGAGAGAGAAAACTAAAAAAAAATTTTGGACTTAAGTTAAACACGTGACCAATTGGACCCAATAGACATCTACAGAATACTCCACTCGTCAATCACAGAATATATGCTCATCTGCACCTGGGACATACTCCAAGACTGATCACATGCTCAGGCATAATGCAAATCTCAATAAATTCAAAAAAATCAAAATTATACCAACCATACTATTGGATCACAGTGGAATAAAAATATAAATAGATAGCAGAAGATCTCTCAAAACCACACAATTACATTTACATGGAAATTAAACAACTTTCTCCTAAATGACTTTTAGGTAAAAAGAGAAAATAAGGCTGAAATAAAAAAATTTCTTTGAAATAAATAAAAACAGATAAAAATTTCTAAATCTCTGGAATTCAGCAAAAGTAAAGAGGAAACTTTATAGCATGAAATTTCTAAGTAAAAAAAGATAGATCTCAAATTAACAATCTAATATCACACCTGGAGGAACTAGAAAAACAAAAACAAACCCAGGTATGTAAGGCTGGTTTGCTTGGTTAGCTGAAATATGGATAAAAAATGGCCCACTGTGAGCAAGCTGGAAACACCTGATCTCCCTTGGTTTAATTTGAGAAAGGTATTCAAAGGCTTAGGGAGATTGGATGGTGGAGTTGATAAGTCACTTTAGACCTATTCATCTAAGCTGGGAGGGTCCAGAAGATATACCCTTGAACAAAGCCTTGCAAAATAGATTTGTGAGGGCAGCGCCTGCATCTTTGAAGAGCCCTGTAATTGCTCTTCTCTGTGTGTCAAAGCTAACAGTGGGAACTGCAGTCACTCAACTACTAAATTTAAGTACAGTGAGAATAATCGGATCCTGAGGTGGCAGGGGCCAAGTGGCAGCACTCAACAGTCAAAGGCAAGGCTGGTGTAGCTACTGTAATGGACAGCAGAGAGAAAGTGGCAATCAGAATAGTCTGATTTGTGTAGAGCTCTGACATTAGCTAATTAATCACGGTGTTCCTAGAAGTGAAATTGATAGGATGCCTACTGCATTCCTACTTGATTTATATAAGCAGAAATCTTCTAGTTCGAATGAACAAAATAATAATTTGAATCACAGAAACAAAGAATCATGACCCCTCAATCAATTCCCAGACCGTTTACAGACCCAGAACCCCTTGAATGAAGGGAAGACTGGGTCCTTTTGAGGAAGGACCCCACTACATTACCAACAAGTTATGCTGTAAATCTTTCTGCCATCCTTCCCCAAGGAGACTTCTGGCCTTTTACCAAGGTAACTGTGCATTGAGGAAAGGGAAATGATTAGACCTTTTGGGGACTACTGGACACTAACTCTGACCTGATGTTGATTCCAGGGGACCCAAAACGTCACTGTGGTCCTCCAGTTAAAGTAGGGCTTATGGAGGTCAAGTATTCAATGGAGTTTTGCTTCAGGTCTCACTTACAATGGGCCCCCGGACTCATCCTGTGGTCATTTCCCCAGTGCCAGAATGCATACTTGGCATAGACATACTTAGCAGCTGGCAGAACCCCAACATTTGCTCCCTGACTGGTACAGTGAGGGCTATTATGGTGGGTAAGGCCAAATGGAAGCCATTAGAGCTGCCTCTACCTAGAAAAATTGTAAATTAAAAACAGTATTGCATCTCCCGTAGTGATGGTGAATGGTGCCACCATTACCATCACTAGCAAAATTTTTACATCCTGTTCTCATGACATTACATTCTGCTGGCCTAGAGGTCCTAGTTCCAGAGGGAGGAACTAAGCACACACAACAATGACTCCATTAAACTGGAAGTTAAGATTGTCATCTGGACACTTTGGCATCCTCCTGCCTTTAAGTCAACAGGCCAAGAATGGTGTTACAGTGTTGGCTGGGATGATTGACACAGACTATCAAGATGAAATCAGTCTACTACTCCAAAATGGTGGTAAGAAAGAGTATGCATAGAATACAGGAGATCCATTAGGGTGTCTTTTAGTATTACCATGGCCTGTGATTAAGGTCAATGCAAAACTACAACAGCCTAATTCAGGCAGGACCACAAATAACCCAGACCCTTCAGGAATGAAGGTTTGTGTCACTCAACAAGGAAAAGAACCATGACCTGCTGAGATGCTTGCTGAAGGCAAAGGGAATACAGAATGTGTAGTAGAAGAAGGTAGTCATCTATACCAGCTACAGCCACGTGACCAGCTGCAGAAACAAGGACTATAATTGTCATGAGTATTTCTTCCTTCTTTTGTTAAAAACATGTTTGTGCATGTATATGCTTGTACTAAAGAAATATCTTCATTTTATTTCCTTTCTCCTTTATCACGTTACATAAGATTTATTGATTTCACATCAGCATTTAAGTATTGTTAACTTTATGTAATAGTATTTGGGTTGGGGATTGGTGCATTTCTGGTTGTACGAAGCATAGTTGTATTATGTTAGGTGTAATTATGACCTCATTATTGTCTTTATTTGAAGATTATGTATGATCTCAGGAGATATGTGTGGGTTCAAGTTGACAAGGGGTGGACTTGTGATAGTTAATACTGAGTGTCAACTTGATTGGATTGAAGGATTTGACCCTAGGTGTGTCTGTGAAGGTGTTGCCAAAGGAGATTAACATTTGAGTCAGTAGTGGGGAAAGACAGACCCACCCTTAACCTGGGTGGACACAATCTAATCAGCTGCCAGCATGGCTAGAATATAAGCAGGCAGAAAAATGTGAAAAGAGAGACTGGCCTAGCTACCCAGCCTACATCTTTCTCCTGTGCCGGATCTTCCTGCCCTCAAATATCAGACTCCAGGTTCTTCAGTTTTGGAACTCAGACTGGCTCTCCTTGCTCCTCAGCCTGCAGATGGACTATTTTGGGATCTTGTGATCATGTGAGTTAATACTTAATAAACTCCCCTTTATATATATATACCTATTCCATTAGTTCTATCTCTCTAGAGAACCCTGACTAGTACATATGTCGTCAGGGAAATGCAGATCGAAACAACCATGAGATACCACTACACACCTACTAGAATGGCCAAAATCTAAAACACTGACAACACCAAGTACTGACAAGAATATGGAATAGCAAGAACTCTCATTAATTGCCGGTAGGAATGCAAAATTGTAGAGTGGATTTTGAAGACAATTTCATGGTTTATTATAATACTAAACATACCGTACCATAAAACCTAGCAATACAAATTATGTCCACAGAAAATCCTGTACATGGATATTTGTAGCAACTTTATTTATATTTTCTCAAACTTGAAAGCAACCAAGATGTCCTTCAATAGGTGATTGGGTTAATAAACTGTAGCATAGCTAGACAAGGGAATGTTATTCAGTTCTAAAAGGAAATGAGCTTTTAAGCCATGAAACATGGAGAAACATTAAATAAGTATTACCAAGTGAAAGAAGATAAACTGAAAAAAGCTACATGCTGTATGACTTCAACAACATTACATTCTTAAAGAGGCAAAACTATGGTGACAGCAAAAAGATGTCATGTTTAGGGGTCTTGGGTGGCCCCTGTTAACCAACTCTCCCAGGGATGATATGTTCCCTTTGGTCCAATTCACACTAAAGATGAATCTGATGTTTATTCTGGGAGTACTCTTACAAGATGGACAGTGAGAGCTGGATCATAGGCTGGGCCATATCCACTCAGGTGTTAGAAGAGTGCCTGACTGGGAGGGTCTCCATCTGGAGACGATTCTCAGAGGTTAGGGAATTGTTCCCCCTTTCTTATACTTACATACACTCCAGGTCTGTTAACAGGTGTTTGCTTCATAAAGGGAGTTTAAGCTATTCTTATAAGAGTAAGATTTGTTTTAAGGTTTACGAAAGTTGCATCTGTGCTGAGGTGTCCTTGTCTCTAGGACAACCAGTGTTTTTAAGTGCTGTCATTATAAATACTTAGTAATCCCTCGGCCAGGATTAAAAGTCTCCAGCCCATGTTATATCATATTGCTAAGTGTCACATAGCATAGGTTCTGCGAGATGTTT
This sequence comes from Homo sapiens, assembly GCF_000001405.40. Classification (NCBI taxonomy): domain Eukaryota; kingdom Metazoa; phylum Chordata; class Mammalia; order Primates; family Hominidae; genus Homo; species Homo sapiens. The sequence continues at coordinate 102,112 of NT_187554.1, read as the reverse complement.
GAGTGGGCCTTATGGCCATCATTAGCCTTATAGTCACAAATATCACTTATAGCATACTGCAAAAGATTAGTGGTTTCCAAGCATTAAGAGAGAGAGGGGATGAATAGGTGAAGCACAGAAGATTTTTAGGGAATGAAAATTCTCTGTATGGTACTATATAAATACATGTCATTACACATGTTTCTAGACATATAGAATGTACAACACCAAGAGCAAACCCTAATGTAAATTACACTTTGGGTGATTATGATGTGTCAATGTAAGATCATCAATTATAATGAATGTACTACTATGGTGGAGAATGTTGATGATGGAGGAGGATTCACATGTATAGGGGTAAGGTGCATATGTGAAATCTCTTTAACTTCCTCTTAATTTTGCCATGAACCCAAAACTGCTGTAAAAAGATAAAGTATTCAATAATGAAAAATAATTTACAGTATCTGAACTAATTTACATTCTCACCCTTCACACAATATACTCATGTAACAAAGCTCCACAGGTACTGCCTGAATCTAATACAAAAGTTGAAATTATTTTAGAAAAGAAAATATTAAAAAATAAACAAAAATCTTATAGCAAGCTGCCTTGAGTAACTCATTGCCCACAGTTTCCTCCTTTCGTCCTTCCCTTTACCAGAAAGATAGTTTGCTATATTATATATTGAAAATTCAAAGGAGTATTAGCCTTTCTTATAGAGAAGGTAGAACATGAACTTTTTTTTAAATAGGATAGTAGTTAGAAATTACAGTGAAGTCATGTAGCCCAGTTTGAACTAGAAAACTAGGCTCAGAGGACATAAAACACATGGAAACAAATTTGGCTGAAGTGTGAAGTTATGCGGAATAAACAGAGTGACAAAATTTAAGACCAAATCAGACACTTGCACACAGTGATAGCACTTATCAAAAGCTGCTCTAGTACTTTCAGAGAGCTTCAAAGTTTGCTCAGAAGTTTTATTATCTCCAGCTCTAACCTACCATGTTTTATTTTTCCCTCCAGGCCAAATTTTACTTACGAGAAAGTCTTTTTTTTCATCCTAGGAATATTTGTATAAAAGCATTTTTATAAACATTGTAAGAGCCATATTACACTAGAGGAAAGAAAAAAAAGAACTTTCATAGTTTTTCTGATTGAAGAATATGTATATATTGATGGCTTGAGTAAGTATGAATGAGTGTGATGAAGTTGGGCTTAATTCAATTGATATTGTTTTCATTAAAGAAGATAACAATACTATAAAATTTAAAATGCTCTCAGTGCGTATATTTTACACTCACTGATTTATTTTTATAAAAGCTATTCGCCAATGTCCCAAGGCAGAACTTGACCCTATTTTAGTCAGCTTGGGATGTTATAACAAGATACCATAGACTGTCTTGCTTAAACAATAGAAATTTATTGCTAGCAATTCTGGACGTTGTAAGGTACAAGATCAAGAGGCTGGCCTGCCTGATTTCTCACGAGAGTCCTCTTCCTAGTTTACAGATGGACAACTTTGTGCTGTATCCTCACATGGCAGACAGAGGGAGGGAAGGGCGGGTGACAGATATCTATATGTATGTCTACATCTATAACTATCTATCTGTCTGTCTATCTATCTATCTAGTAATCTATCTAATTGAGAGAATCTCTCCTCTGTTCTCTCTTCATATAAAAACACTAATCCCATAATGAAGCCTTCACCCTCATGGCCTCATTACCTCCTAAAGTCCCTACTTTCTAATACCCTTTTATTAGGGTAAGGTTTTAACATATTATTTCTGTGGAGGGGGGACTGAAATATGCATTTTATAAGAGACCCATTAGAAAAAATACGTCAAACTACTGACTTTCAGCACAAAGGAAGAAGGCAGTGACATCAAATGTGCTCCTTGGAAGTGTAAATATTCTTTGGAAAGCTGAAATGTAACAGACAAGACATATTCATTATACCATAGATTATTTTTATCGGATATTTCCAGTCAATAAAAAATATTTCCTGATCATCTACCCTATGTCCAATTCTCTACTTTTTCATGTGTATAACCAAATAAGATAAATCCCCTTTAAAGAATGGGAATATTGCCCAGCAACCAAAATGATGTTGGCAATTGTATTAGTTTTCTATTGCTGCATAATACATCATCTCATTTATTTAGCAACTTTAAACAACACACATTTACTACTTCACAGTTTTTGTGGGTCAGGAGTCTGAATGCAACCTAATGGGGTCCTCTGCTTAGGGTGTAAGAGGCTTCAGTTTAGGTATTGGTCAGGCTGCATCTTCATCTGAAAGATTTGCTAGAGAAAGATCATCTTCTAAGATCTCCGGTTGTTGGCAGAATTCATTTCTCTGTAGTTGTAGGACTGAGGTACAGATTTCTTGTTGGTTGTCAATAAGAGGACACCCTTAGCTTCTAGTAGCTGCTTGCACTCTTTGCAGCTCCTTGCCACATTCCCCTCTCCATAGGGCTTCTCACAACAGAGGCGCTTACTTTTTTTAAGCCAGTGATGAAGAGAGAGTCTTTCTCATTAGGGAGTGCTCAGTCCCACTTTTAAGGGATTTTAACTAATTAAGTCATGTTTCTATGGTTTGAATGTACCCCCCCCCAAAAGTTTATGTGTTGGAAACTAATCCCAAATGCAGCAGTTTTTGGAGGTGGGGCCTAACAAGAGGTAATTGTGTCATGGAGGCAGAACCCTCATGAATGAATGAATGAACATTGTTCTCCAGCGAGAGGTTATCTTGACAGTAGGTTGTTACAAAGAAAGTCTGGCCTCTGGTGCCTTGGTCTGTCTTGCTCGTCAACCTTCTCTTATGTGGTGATGCAGTAAGAAGAACCTCAACAGATGCCAGTACCATGTTCTTGGACTTCTTAGCCTCCAGAACTGTAAGAAATAAACTTTTATTTTATGTAAATTACCTAGTGGGTAGCACTGTTATAGCATCAGAAAATAGACTAAGACACATGCTCACCCAAGATAATCTTATTTTGATTGAATCAAAATTAACTGATTTGGAACCTGTATTACATCTGTGAAATTACTTCACATTTGACACTTTTTATTGGCTAGAAGCAAATCCTACCCACATTACAGGAAATTAGATTATATAAGGGCAGAACCCCACAGGGTAGAGAGTATAAGGGCAAGTTTAGTATTTGCCTATTACAGTAAGTTTAGGCCATATGTTATTTTTATGTAAGTAAGTTTTAAAGAGTGGGAGAATATTTTACAGTGATTGTTAACTAAAGATAGAAACAAATGGAGATCGTGTCACTGCTCTCCAGCCTGGGCAACAGAGTAAGACCCCGTCTCAAAAAACAAACAAACAAACAAAAAGCAAAGAGACTGTTTTAGAAAATGCCCGTGATTGGGCCTTACACCAGAGATTATGATTTTATTGTTGTGGAGTAGGACTAATGCACCAGTATTTTTTTCTCTTTTGTTAAGATACATGTGACATAAAAATTTTATAGATTTAAGGTGTATGCTCCCAGGTGGTCTTTGTTAAATCAGGTGAACACAACTGCTTTCAATACTCAGAAAACAGAATGAAAAAGCTAAAGAGGGGAAGAGCTTGTCCAAATGAGCACCTGTTTGTAATCTCATTAGACGAATTTAATAAGATTGCCTAATTAAGCAGTTATGGAAGAAAGATTATTGCAATTTTGGAATCACTTTAACTCATATTTTGGTAGATACCTGGAACATCTTTAATTCCACAGTTAGAAAAAATGTTTAATTTAAAAAATAGTTTGTATGTTTCTTTGCTTTCTTCTTTTCTGAATAATTCACCTGGGGGTAAGAGCAAGTTAGTCTTGTGTTGGTGAAATAGAGTTGCTACCCTGACTAGAGGAAGAGGATGTTCAAACAGGGGGTTGTGGTAGTGGCCAAGCATGGAGTGGTAGAGTCTAAGAAAGGGGCAGAGGGTGTTCACACTAGATATTTTCAGCAACAGATTTTTACATACATAAGAGCTGAGTCTATTTACATTGACAAATATTGAGCAGACATATTTCTCACTGTTAGAAAGGAAAGCTATAAATATAAAAAGAAAAAACCTATGATATTGATTGGAATTAGAGTTATCAGTGTGAACTCATGGTTTTACATACACGCACGTACACATGCACACACAAACACACACATATTTTCTGTCCCCTAAACTGGAAGGGTCTGGGAGAAGTGACACCCCAATAGCAATGAGCTCATTTAGTACCTGGATCTTGGCTTCTAAATATTAATATAATTGTCATTAACAAGAAGCAAGTTTTCTTGAGGAAATCACTAACTTTAGGAGTAGGACAGTAAAAGATGAGCCTCGAACATCATGATGTAAAGGAAAACATCAAAGAATGTTGAAGACATGACAAAAGAACATGGATGCCAGCTTGAAGAGACTCCAATTTTTAAAATCTGGTATGATTTAAACGTTAACATAAATAAATATATAAATTATATAAATGAATGAATAAGTAAATGGAGATAAGATAAATCTTCCCTTATGGAAGAAAATTATGTATGTAGAAGGAATGAAGGAATTAAAAATGCACCATCTGGTAAACATCATAGAACTTGATTCAGGCAAGAATCATCTATGGATGCTAAAAATGGTGCTTAAAATTTTGACAAGAATCAGCGTATTAGTCTGTTTTGTGTTGCTATAAAGGATACCTAAGCCTGCGTAATTTATAAAGAAAAAAGGTTTATTTGGCCCACAATTCTGATGGCTAGAAAAGTTCAAGATTGGGCACCTGATCAGGGCCTCAGGCCATTTCCATTTGTGGCAGAAGGTAAATGAGACCTGACATGTGCAAATACCACACAGCAAGAGAGTAATCAAGCAAGAGAGGAGCGAGATGCTAGGCACTTTTAAACAACCAGGCCTCTTGCAAGAACTCTCTTACCCCTGAGAGAGGACATTAGTCTATTCATAAGGAATCCACTCCTATGTCCCAAACACCTTCCACTAAGCCTCATCTTTCAACACCTCTGCACTGGGAATTAAATTTCAACATAAAGATTGGAGGGTACAACATCCAAAGTATAGCAACCAGGATACATACATAGTCTCAAACTATTTCCCCATGAAAAATAACACACCAACAACAAACTTAAATAATTATAAAAGGAAAAGGACTACCTTTAAATTACATAATCACAGCAAACAAAAGCCTAATCAAATGATCAACTTCATATCACAAGCACTGGGTCAAAGTACAACACAGGATTCAGAGACTAAATTAGTATGTATTGCCTGAATCTAATCATGAGAAATTATAAGAGAAATTAAATGTATTTCTATAAAATAGCTCTGCAAGTCTATTCTTCAAGTGTTACAATCATGAAAGTCAATGGAAGAACGAGCCACTGTTCCAGATTTATTGAGAATAAAGAACCATGACTAAATACAGTTGACAATTGTTTGGATATTTCACTATACATTTTATTATTGGACAACTTAAAATACTTGAATGGGGTTTGTATATTCATTGGTATATTAGCTTGCTAGGACTTCCATAACAAAATAACAGACTGGATAGCTTAAACAATTAAAAAACTACTTTTTTTCATAGCACTAGAAGCTGGATTTCCAAGATCAAGGTGCTAGCAATGTTGGTATCTTCTGAGGCTTTTCTTTTTGGCTTGCAGATTTCTTCTTCTTGTTGCTTGTTTACGTAATCATTTCTCTGTGCATCTGCACCCCTAGTGTCTCTTTTCGTGTCTGAATTTTCTCTTCTCATAAGGACACTCATCAGATTGGATTAGACAGGCCTCATCTTAATTTCCTCTTTAGAAGCCTTATCTCCAAATAGAATCACATCCTGAGGTACTGAGGGTTGGTACTTCAATGTATGAATGTTGAGGAGAGGAATACAATTCATCTTATAACAGACGATATTTGTTTTCCAGTGTTAACTTCCTGATTTTGATGGTCATATTGTGGTTATGTTAGAAAATGTCCTTGTTTTCAGGAATTGCACACAAGAGTTTGGGATTGATGGAATATCAAATTTTTAAACTACTCACAACTGGTTCAGAAAAAAAAACCCAAAAATTTATTTGTATTCTTCATTCAAAAAAAGTAAAAGAAGAAAGGTAAGACCAATAAGAAACAGAAGCTTATGAGAGGCATTATCGAAGAGGCATTAATGTCACTCTAGGGAAAAGAAGTGTGACAGCGGTGATATTTGCTAAGTGACCACCACATGTTTTCCTAGGTTATAGCTCATGTTTTAAACCACAGTAAAAGTGAATATAGATGGAATTACATTTTTCACTGACCCTACAGAAAGAAGGGATAAAGTTCTAGCTCAGTATAGTCTGGAAAGATGAAAGACTTTTGACGCCTGAAGCATTAAACATTACATCAACTTCTGACATTGTAAGTGGAGAGCTCTGACAGATAGAAACCATTGTAGTTGGCTATGTACAAAAACTGGACTCATCAGAGTGGAGAGTAAGTTAAAATAATTTCTGGAAAGCACAGAAGCTAAATTCAATATTAATTAATAATTGATAGCATTTGACAGCATATAAAGTATATAAAGAGAAAATATCTAATTTTCCTATATAGTGATCCTTTCTCCTTTCAACAATGATATTGTATAATATTTAATCAAATTCAAGGCAATTAATTGATCAGTGTCCTAGGCTGTTTGTATATGACATTCTGAAGAATATAACAACTTCTTTCAAGTAAAAAACTTACCATCTCGTGGTGAAGATTTTTTTTTAAAGATGCTACAGTATTTTTACGCAAAGGCAAAAAAAGCCTGTTTTATTATGTGGTGGGTTAGGAGGGTGAGAAAGTATGCCCACTACCCTGTGTGCCATGCTCTTTCTCCTTCAGGCTTTTCTTATGCCACAAATATTCTTCCTTCCCATTCCTGGGCCCCTATTCATTTGACTAACTCCTGTGCAGCTATAAGTGCTTAGCAGCATAGGTTCTATTTTGTATAATATAAGGAGTCATTACAAGTTTTTGAGCAGCAAATTGGCATAATCAGAATTCTAACTTGGAGCTCATTAATTATTTCAACCAATGATTTGCTAAGTCCTAGGCACCTTGGCTTCATGTCTTCAAGGTAGTCTTTCCTGACACCCTGAACCTGGGATGTATGACTGTCTTTTAGTTGCCTAGAACCCTATGTTATAACTACAAATACATATGTATCATAGTGATTTGCTTGCTTGTCTGAAAACTCCACTAGGCTTTATGTCTAATTATGTTTCATTGACTGTTGTATCTTCACACATAGCCCAATGCTTCATACATTAGAGTTTGCAAAAACTATTTGATGAAGAATGAAAACCTGCTAAAAATACTTTAACCAAAGGGTTTTTAAACTCAAATAAATTTCTTTCACTTGGAGAATTACTCATGGATTACATAAAATTTGAGCTGGTTTTTAGGACTTGAAAGGTTGGAGGAATAGGAAGAGGGATTCCAGGCTGAGGTAACCACATTGTGCAAAGTCATCCAATGTAAGGTGTGCGGTGAGACAGTCCATTTTAATTGGATTGAGAATTTAGTCTAACTAGAATGAACACTTTTTCAGATATTATACCAAATACCTTTGGGGTAAAAATTTGGGGCCAGATTATAGAACATATTAATATTATGTTTACAAGTACAAACTCTTATAGGTTAGGAAGATTTGAAATTCACTTTGTATAGTGAATTTCAACTTTTCCTGACCTAACAATGGTCAACTAAATTAAGCACATTTTAACAACAGGTACCTAAACGGTAGAAGCTGTTTTTTGTCTGAAAATTCTACTACCTTATGTATCCAATCATGTTTCCTTGACTGACTCTTGGATCTTCACACCTAGCCCAATGCCTCATACATCAGACTTTGCAATAACTATATGATGAAGAAAGAAAACCTGCTGAAAATACTTACAATCAAAGGGTTTTAAAACTCAAAGAAATTTGAGTTTATTGGGTTCATGAGCCAAAAGAAAAGAATTTATGTGTCATGAAATGTACAGCTCTTTCCATTTCATTCTTCCGTCACTGGTTCTAGAGGAGGAGTTTGTTCTGGCTTCCTTTGTCTCAGGAAGACTGCACCCTCTGGTGGAAGTGGTGTTAATGGCTCCTTTTGAAGGATGCTTTACCTATGCAGGCCCCTATCTCTAAAGCCAGGGAGAGCTGGAGGCTTAGGTTTGGATTTTAGTTCAGCCTATGATAGGGATGGTCTAATCCTAGTAGTCCTGATTTGTGAACAGGGCTCAGGCATTTAAAAAGTCTCTCCAGATTCTACTAATTAGATTAGGATCAATTTTCACCATTTATTTTTCCTAAATACATTGGCATAAAAGCAGAGCTTATACCTCATTGGTCTATTTCCTCTTAAGCCTCTGCCAAAGAAATGTACATAAAGTGGGGGAGGGTTAATTAATATTGATTGAATTATTTTAATTGTAGCTACCTTAACTTACTTAGAGTATTGTACCTGATAGATTAGATTAGAACATTTCTCTGGCTTCTTAGTTTTGCTGACCAGTATAAAGAAAGCTTCGATTCATAATATATTTAGGGCTAAATATATTCACAGTCTAATCCTGAACTTCACTTCTATTTTCAAGGAAAGAAAATCATACCAATATTCTGACCATGAAAACGTCCCAGTGCTTTCCTTCTTTATTTCAGCTCCTAACAGTAGCCTATAAAACGCAGGACTTATGAAAATATTGGCCATATTTTTAAACTGGAAAATCTTGCTCGGGATTGGCAAGTACTGGAATTATAGGCATAAGGACTGGAGAAAGATAATGAGCTTCTGAAGTAATCACCTTTTCCATCCTCCCTTATTGAAATGATGATGAATATCCCAGTGAGTGTCAAAGGCAGTCTGGCTTCTTTTTTATTCCGTTGCAGGACCAGGAGTCAGGAACTTCCTTAGTATCACCAAAAATCAACTGAGCCACCTTGGCATGTCTCCTTGATAACTGATGCATGCTTAAAACCCATTTAAAAAAATTTCCTAAGCATTAGCACGACAGTTGCATTTTAATATTATTAATGCCAGTCATTGAAACAGGTTTATTTTTAAATATATATAGAAAAATACAAAGCACAGAATCATTATATTCTAATTGTAAAAGTGAAATATTGGGAATGAAGTTTCAATTGTGTGTGTTTGCAATCAAAATAACGCAAAATCGTAATAATCACTGAAATGCAGGGTTGGAAGGGCTACTACTTAAAAGAGAGGCATACTGAATAATAAGAACTTACACAATGTACAATTTTTTAATACTATATTGGTATGTTATCTTTATTCATAGCATATTAGCAATTTTAAAAAGGTTTTGTTTCTAGAATAAAAAAATTCAAAAGCAAACTGAAGTTTCTATGAAAATGTTAGCGTTAGCAAATTAACTGAAGCTTAATAATAAATCATTGTGTGGACTTGCTGAGCACTTGCTAAGCACCATAGACTGATGAACTTATTTAATCTTTACAACAATTATATGAGCTATGGACTATTATGATCCTAATTTTACAGATTAAAAAAATCTGAGATATGAAAATATGTATCTTACCCAAAGTCATACCCACATAGTAAGTGTCAGAGTAGGAATTTGAATCCCAGAAATCTGGCAATAGAATTTGTGCTCTTAACCACCATGCTATATGCATTTGCTCCTCCGAGCCTAGAAACAGTGGGGACCATATTTGCCAGTGCAAGCTGCCAGAAGCCAGTAGCCAAGTGGCAGAGAGTGTACAGGAGCATCAGCTGTTGAGAGGCTCAGAAGTATTCAAGCTGCTACTACCTTATAGTACAAGGGAGTAGAAATGAGAGACAGGAAGCTGAATGCCAATCTAAGAGGCCTCTACCTCACTAGAGTTACACTGCCAGAAAAATAAATGTGCAGAATTTAATGAAGTTGCCAAATAAATTCATTTCTACTGAGATCAAAATAGGTTTTCTAATACTGAGTGATCAAAACAAACCTTTCCCCTGAAATAGCTATACTGTTTGCTGTTAGAGGGCATTCTCAGTCCTCTATCTAAAGCATTTTTCAAAAAGAGTAGTAAGCAGAAATGTACAGTGAGAAGAAATGGCTGGTACAAATCTAAGAGAGGGACCCAGAAACTAGAATACCTGAAGTATCATCTATTTCTGCTGCTCACTACCTTTGAGAACATGCATGTGTTGCCTAACCTCTCAGTGCATCACTGTCCTTGTTTGTAATGTAGAAACAATAGCACATTCACAGTCATATTTTAAAAAGTTAGATGACCATCTTGGTGGCTCCAAGTGCAGAATATGTAATGTGCAATTTTGTGAGTCACAAAATATTTTTAAAGGACTAATAAGCTAGAGAATTTAATATATTTTCTTTCCAGATCTTATTAAAATTTAAACTTCTAACTATTCTCAGAGTGAGCTAATAGCAATTTCTCCTTATTTTTTCCTTCATCTAGTTTATCTTAATTGACCTTTGTTAATCCTGCAAAAATTCCCTACACTCAGAGGTGGCATTTAGCAGGAATATACCTACGTACCTGAAAGATATTCTCATTGTCAGTGCCCATGCCATTCCTACTGTTAATATTGTGCTAATACTGTGATATATTGAATATCACTCCTGCTTTTATTAATATTATTATTCTTGTCTTACTCATTATTGTCCTTTTATTTCTTTTCAAGGATTCTCACCATCCAGAAGTCATACCAGGTAACGAGGATGAACATCAGCTCCTTTCTCATTTCCTAACCAATGCTGAACTGCAAATCTCACCCTCCCTCTGAATATCCTTTAGAAACAATGTGAAAAATAAATATCATCCTGGAACAGTCATGTTCAAAGGCCAAGGACTGGTTTTGGTGTGAAACTTTGCCCTGATCCTGAAGACTCAAGAGAAGCACGAATCTTTAGTGATATTAGGGATCTGGGAAGTCATCTAGATCAGTCCCTTCCTTTTATTGGAAAGAAAACCAAGGCCCGGGCATTAAATGTGTCATTCAAAGTCACAGAGGCTCTTCAGAGAAGAAGCAAGAATGGCAATCTCAGATCAATGGATGTGAACACTTTGGGTCACATCTGAAGAGCAAATTCTCTTGCTAACCTTTCTCCCTAGTCTGTCACCCTTTTTTCTAGCTTACACTCCTACCGTGTGCCAAGATAAATTTAAATACATTAATATTTAATTTACACAACCATTTTACAAGGTAGAGACAGTGGGAGAACAGCCTTGAAGAACAAAAAAAAGAGGTAAATTTGTATTTTGCTTCTATATTACAAATAAGGAAAGTGATTAATGGAAAGGATAAGCAACTTATGCATGTTTTCACTGCTATTGAGCAGCAGAAATGAGATGATAATGGACATGGTATTTCAAGTCCTCAGAATACCAGGGGAATGAGTATTGATAGCGAACAAAAGAGGATCAAGACTCAACCCCAGACACACCAGTATGAAGGATTGGAGAGAAGAGAATAAATTAGCAGAAGTACCTAATAAGGAGGAATTGTTGAGTTATAAGTGACCTCAAATATATATAGGGTCCTGGAAAATAAAGAGCTAGAGAGTATTTTGATAAGGAGGGGGTGATAAACTGTTTGGAAATCTGATGTTAGATCAGGGAAGATGAAGAAAGAACACTGACCTTTGCATTTAGCAACATGAAGGGCACTCCTGATGTTTACATAGCAGTTTCATGGAGAGGTTAAAGTTGGATGAGGGTGGATTAAGTAGAGAAAGGAAAAATGATTGAAGACAACAAGTATAGCAGCTCCAGAGGAATTTAACTGAAAAGGAGAGTAAGGAGATGAAGTTGTAGTTCTTAGGGTTTTGTTTTTAATAACTGGAGGATGTTTTATGATGAAGGGCATCATCCAAGAACTGAACCTTGGATAAATGGTTACATTTTATAAGTGATGGAAGAACTAAAGCCAGATAATAAGAAAATGAACAATTAGAAGAGATTTATAGAAGTTAAGAATGAGAATGACAAAACAATCCTGTTCTCTCCATACATTATATTTTTATATGGGTTTTGGAATAAATAGGTTACAATTTGAATAAAACTGATTTATGAAGACTGTTGAGCAAAGTCATGTTTCTGTAGGGGTGGTCTGTTTGAGGATACTGAATGCCAGGGACTGAGAGAAATCACTTGAGAATTGCCAGCTGTCCAGTCAAAGATATCCCAACAGGGTGGCACTATTTTGGTGATTTCATTACAGCCTAACAGTCAGAATTGGACTTGTGCTAATGAAGCTCACAGAGAACACAAATTTAATTATTTAAATTAGGCACATTCTCCAGTGACTAATGCTCAGAACATTATCATATTTTAACTTTCAGTCCCATTCTTTCATTTATTTTTAGTCTATCTCCCTTCTCTTCATATATTCTTCAAGCTCTATGAACACAGTTAAATGTAATTATTTTAATATGTGTTTCCTTAGTTACAGTCAAGTCCAGTCATGCCTCCCTAAAAGCATTCTTAAGTCACCTTGATCAAATTACAGGTGCATGAAGAATGTCTCTTAAATCAAATGATTTAAGTAAATGTGCCAATGATTACACTTATTCTAAATGTTGAAGCTCCCTAATTAATTGATCACAGGGTATCTTTTACTCAGTACAGGAAGAATGTTGTACATGCTTCTGTAATGCTTATGAATAGTGATTAGGTTCTCCTTTATGGTCATGTTGGATGTCAGTCATCCAGAGGATAGACAGGACCTTCAGAAAAGCCAGAAAATAACAATATTTCTCTAGGTTCCCTTTTTACATGTCAAGGAAAGATATTTAGGCATGTATTCATGGGAAAAAAGTACTAAATAACACCAGTTAGATGACAGTCTTCTGAGAAAGAGCATTGTCTATCAATTTGGTATTGCATTTTGTTACTAGCAACAGACATGAAAAAAAAAAAACTCAGTGAAATAAACTAAAATGTGAAAAAGTAAATAATGTAGGGTAGGTGTGATGACTCCATAATGCCACAACACTCAGGCTATCTCTTCTCTGCTCAACATACTTTGCAAGTGACTTTCATCCTCAAGACCATCTCATTGCCATTGGTAATCACTGTAGCTCCAGCTGTCATGTCTTCATGAGAGGCAGAAGGACTATAAAATACTGTCAGGTAACTTCAGCCCATAATAAAAAGTTTTCCAAAAGCATTCTCTAAAACTTCCACCTACATCTTATTGGTCATGACTTGGTTTGCTAAAATCATTGGTAATATAAAGTTTTGTAGCTGGACACAATGCCACTCCCCAAAAATCAGGGTTTTGCTACAATTGAAAAAGAAAAGAATGGATTTGGGGTGGGCAATAAACTTTCACCAAGGTTAAACTGGGTTATGGGCTCTCTTGGGGATTATTTTTTTAGATATCTGATGATCTAACTCTTTACTGAGGCCTTAATTTCATTTCAGTTTGTTACATCTAAGGTTTTAATTTTATTTAAATGTTTCTGATTGATTTCTGATATTGCTATATTCCACCAGATTTTTAAGAGTGGTGCTCCAAGGATAGGTGATTTGCAAACTCACTGTTTACATTTACAGTCGATTTTCTCTTTATTGTTTTGAAAAATATTTTTCAGACCTATTTTGTTAATAGCTACCCCCTAAACTTATATAGTGCTTTTGGCAAAATAAATCATTTATTTCATACATAGTCTTCCATACAGTAATTTTTATCTCATTATGTTAAATACTATTGCCACAACAAGTTTGCTGAATTTTTGTGTAATTTATCTTTCCAAAGCTTAAATGATTTATAGTACTTCAACAACTATGATTATTAACTTGGCCGTCCAGGTTTGTTTACGATGCAGTCTTTTTCCAAATACAAGGACATAAAATTTTTACTCATACAATTCTCAAAATTTTAATAATGTTATCTTTTTAATGTACCCGTTTACAATAGTTGTTGGTTCATGATGATGGCACTTATATGTGGATGCGAGTTTTTTGCCTTTCTGTTATAATACAAAATAATAAATATTTGTAAAATGTCCATATCTACTAGGAAGTTAAGATCCAATTTTAGACTAAACTTTTTTGCTAATTAATAATATATACTTACTGAATACCTATCCTGTATCAGAATAGTAATACTTTTCAGAAATACAAACATCAGTAATAGTCCTGATTTAATGACAAAACATGTAAACTAACACAATGCAGCATGACGAGTGCTGCAATAGGAGCATCAGCTAGAATAGTGGCCCAATGTTGGCATGATTTCTTTTTATGAGAATCAGAGCAATGGCTCTCAGCACTTACACTTTCTCAGAACCAACGTTAGGAATTAAAACCAATACTGGGGCCTCACTTGTAAAGATCTAGAGATTTCTCAAATGATTTTAAGTAACAGGTTGGGGAGGGTAGATATTGGATTAAAGAAAGCAATACTTGTGCTGATTCTTGAGAGTGGGGCAAGAGTTTTCCCAGGAAAGGACATATTAGGCAAATATAAAAGCAAATTTAGGCCGGGCATGGTGGCTCACACCTGTAATTTCAGCACTGTGGGAAACTGAGGCAGAAGAATCACATGAGCCCAGGAGTTCAATACCAGCCTGGTCAACATAGGGAAACCTCGTCTCTACACACAAACACACATACACACACACAAAAAATAGGTGGGCATGGTGGTTTCACCTGAAGTCCCAGCTACTCAGGAGGCTGAGGTGGGAAGATTGCTTGAGTTCAGGAGGTTGAGACTGCAGTGAGCTGTGATCCTGCTATCGCATTTCAGCATGGGTAGGTGACAGAGCAAGAGCCTGTCCCAGGGGAAAAAAAAAAAAAAAGCAAGTATGATCACCAATGGAGGCACTGTGACTGTTCTAGTGTAGCAAGAATAACAGGGAAGAGCAGAGTTGATTTGAGCCCGGTTTTAGATGTGGACAGAATTAGAGGCACTCCTATTGCCACACCTGGAAGTTTGAAACTGTCCCTAAGCCCAACATTTTTCAAATTGTGTTCATTAAGTATGTGCAGCCTCCTTGTCTATGCCACAGAATTTATGAACATATAGGTTTGGGAAATGCTGCATACTATTCTCTCTTCCTGGATATTCAACAGGCCTACAACTTCAAAATACCCTGAGAGGCCTACAGCAATGAAAAGAATTATGTCTGCAATTTCCTAAGCTCATTTATCTATGGAACTTTGTTTCTCTTCCCCTAATCCCATTTTGAGTTTCCAATTGATCTTCTTTGGGACACAATATAAAATATAATGTTATGAGCAAGACAGAAAGCTTTGAACAGGGCATCAAATCAATGTACTTAGTGTGTCTCAGCAATCCATTTTAGTTGTCATATTAAATTGGGAGCTTGGTAATACTGGAGACTTGAAACCAGTTAACAGGCTATTGTGCCATTCTAAAAAGAGGATTGAAAGTTCTTAAGCGACGAAATATAAGTGGAGGGAAAAATAGAGAAAGGATTTGAGAGATTTTTAAAAGAGAGTATGAGAGGATTTATGGATAATGAAATAAGAAAGAGTCATTCAGGAACAGGTAATAAAGTCCAGATTCCTGCCGAAGAGAATAGAGGATATTTAAATGGGAATACTTACATATCCATATGCGACAATCATAGTCCTGCAAAAGATGCTTTAGTTTGAAGTGGAAAGAGACAGATGGCTATTAGTAGTGATCAAAGTTTCCTGTTATAAAATAGTGAAAAATGCAAAGCAAATGTTTTAGCTCAAAATGATGTTATTTCCCTCATAAGAACATTTGACTGTAATGTAATTCAGCAAAAAGAAGTACGATTTTTTGACATAAATGTGCATTTACAAATGTTTTTGGAACATATGTATTTTGTCAGTGAGGTAGTACTGGTAGTACCAGGATGAGACTGAGAAAATTGCATGAACTCTCAGTTTGAACAAAGAATACACGGCAAAAATGTGATCTGAGAAATAATATGCCAGTGATGGACTAGAAACCAGAAGATGATGGCTTGATATATTTCTGCAGCACATGTGAGCGTAATAGAGAATAGAGAAGCAAGTCTTTATTAGTAAGTTCTATTTTTAGCACCTTAGTGCTAAATTATATATTTGGTCCAATATTGCAGTATTTGAAGGACAGAGGATCCATAAATCCTAAAATTTTGTTATTGGATACCCTCCTATTTATTTTTAATTTTTTTTAGCATAAAATTCTCTCAGTCTGTGTGCCATTACCATAAGTTGTTCATCAGTCTCAATGACAATTAGGTGTTTCTACCACACTAATGAGCTTAGAATTTTGGAGATTAGTGATTGCTGATAAAAATAGTTTTTCATAATTTTTGTAACAGACATAATAAGGTAAAACTAACAATTTAATATGTGTCTAGTATGCCTTTGAGTGGGTCTTACATCTACTACAATATAGACTATAGGAATATTTGTGTGTCACAATTGAAATAATGTCAGGTTAAGTAAACATTTTCACTGTCTTCAAATATTATAAAAATATAAACCTTAGACTATAAACAAAATTTATATTAATATCTACCCTTAATAATTTGAGTGCAAAATACCTAATTTCAATCAAATATTTTTAAAACCAAGCACTCAAACATGATAGTATGAACATATTGAGTAAGAATGAGTGTTTCAATATGAATATATTTGGCTATCTAATGAATACATGGCAATGTGTAGCAATGTCTGTGAAATCTCGGGTGTTTTATTCCATTTTCCTTTCTTGCCTTTCTTTTGATCATAAGGAGAAACAGACAGTTCATGTCTAAAGAAGTATAGGCCCATCTGCTTCTCATTTTGACTTTCTTTGTTTTTTAAAGTTTTAAACTAATTTTTAGACTAATCATAAAGCTGATCTAAAATAATTTTTAAAGTTGGTGCTGAAAAAGACAGCTAAAAATTCTCATCTCAACTTACATATTTTTGTGAAAGTATCTGATATTTCATCATCAATTTATTTCTCTTCCAGAGAAAGTTAATATTGGCTTTATAGATTTCCACTGTTGTAAATAGAGTAAAAATTAACAGATAAGGAAAAATTAATATATTCTGATTAATGTATCAATATACTATTAATATATATCACATTAATAGTATCTATCCACATAGATTTCTTAATGATGTGAACCTAATTTTATCTTCAAATAAACATTACTATCTTCTATAAATAGATTCCATCTATCCCAATCATAAAATCAACTATTTATGTACACACATTTTTTTGCTGGTTTTTTTTCATTTGTTTACTTTTCCTTCATTGACTGATTATTCAGCAGAATGGTGTCTGCTGGTAAAAGAGGGCTAAATTAATTATCTTTATGTCGAGGGATTCAGCTGTCAAAAAAACTAAAATTGTCATTATTAATAAAATAAATATGCTTAAGTTATTTAGTTGTGTCATAATGAACAGTTGTAAATGGCATTAAATAAATAAAAATAGCATTTTGATTTCTGTCATGCACTGTCCTTGTTTATATGATTTAAGCATATTACTTCCATTGAGATTGAGGGATTCTGTGGGAGAGACTTCGGAGAGTAAAAAACTCTAAATAAATTTTTTTATTTTATTTTAAAAAAAGAAAAAGAAAAATGAAACAACCAGCAGAATCCGTTTTCTTACCTACTCCATCAGCTGAAATAAGGGCCAAGTGCTATATATGTAAAGCAAAAAACAAAAAAACACATTCAATGACTCATGGCATCTGGGATTGTGATGACTGAAAATGTTTCAAGGGACGCACTTGTGAGTGCTGGTCAGCATTATCAACAGTTCTCAGGGAAAGGATTCTGCTCAGCACCATGACTTGATTCGCAATGCATATTGGAGAATGGTGAGAGAAACATGTAGCACAGAAGATGCTTTCGTGTAGGTTTTAAAGAGGAAATAAATTAGTTCAGTAGAGCTGCAGGTGAGTGGTAGAAACTAAAACATAAATCACAAGTATAATATTCCTGCATATTTTCCATAATGTGAATGGAGAGGTTTTGTATTCTAAAATCATTCAGAGATTCTTAGAGCTCTGTCTCTGAATATGAAGGAAATGTGTTTCTTGGGTATTAAACTTCCTAGCATAACTAGGTAGTAAGTGTATTTGTCTTATTTTTCAGATATTCCCAGAAGAACAGGGAAGGGGAAAATGTGTGAGTGGGAACATTTAAATACAATGAATTAATTCATAAGTGATATTATGGATTATAATGTTACTTTCACAGTACCTTATTATATTACCCTATAGGGCTTTGTCAAGTATGCAGGTCATTAATGTCTACATGATTGGTCCTATGGTGGATAAAGCAAATTGGACTCTCAAGTTGGGCCTATATTACTTACAGGAACAAATACCAAGCAATTAGGCCATCAGTAATTATTTTATAGAATTATATGTTTTATAGAATATATTTATATTCTAAAAACCATGTATATAAAATAAAATCATAAACCATGACTTAATTATCTGCTTGACATCTTACTTTGGTGTATTTTACAGTGGTGAGAACTTGTCTGGAATTTGTTGAACAGTCTCTACTTACCAAGAAGCCAGAGAAAAGTTTGGCTGACCTCCAAGCAAGCTGCACAAGCTCATGCTCATTAAAGGCTCATAAAGATGCTATTAGGGATTACAAAGGATCTGGCCATGGTCCCCATGGTTCTAGCTGCCACTGGTTTCCCATAGAGCCCTAGGCTGGATACAATCTGTAGTGTCCCTGGAAAAGCACAGGTGGATTCTGTATACTTTGTGGTCTGAATATTCTTCACCTAATGACAACAGATGTGGTAGGTAGAATAACACTCCCTCCTACCAAAAACAACAACAACAACAGCAACAAAAACCCATAGATGTCTACCTTCTAACCTACGGAACCTGGTAATACATTAATTACAGGGTAAAATGGTATTAAGATTGCAGTGGAAATGAAAGTTGCTAGTCATTTTACCTTAACATAGCAAAGTAATCCCAGATTATCTCAGTGGACCCAATGTAATTACTAGGATCCTTAAAAGTGGAAGACAGAATTGAAAGAGAGAACTATGCAGTATCATTAAAACTTCTTGGTCTGATGTTACTGACTTTGAAGATGGAGGAAGGGGGCCATGAGTGAGCTAAGGAAAGAAGGTGGCCCTAAACAAGCTGGAAAAGGCAAGAAAACAGTTCTTGTCCAATGGAGTAAATCCCATGACATAAATCGATGTGTGAAGTTTCCTTGACAATCAGCAGATTGGCATAAACTTGTTACTTCATTCTTCTTAGCAAGCACGAGAATAGTGTTACAAACAGTGTTGGAAATTTCCTAATCCGTATGCTTCATTTTGAGGCTATTATTCACCGCTGATGTTGTTTCCAGTCCTTGACTGCTCTCTGAAGCTTCACATTTGAAAAATTATTATAGCTACAGTAGCACATGGTCAATCTCATGTTTGTTTGATTAAAATATTGTAGAGACCAACATGCAGGAGCTAGCAAAGTAGTAATCATCTATTCTGAGGTCAAGCAGGATAACTACTCTTCCTAAGAATATTTCGTCCCTTGAAAGAAGTTCTGGCAAGGTAGGTGGTTGGCAACAAATAGTGACCCTTACATGGTGATCCTGAAATCTGTCTCTAATTTCTGCTCTCCTTTATTTTATCAGTGAGACAATGATGAAATCTCATATTTCATAAGATTTTAAGGATGTTGCCACTTAAAGGTTTTGTGAAACTAAATGTATTCACAACACAGTTTTAGTTTATGAGTTTGAATTCACACTCTTGAACATAAAATCTAATCCTAATGTACAGTCTTTCTACTCCTAAAATTGGAAGGAGTATAACATGTTCCAAATTACAAATAACATACATTACAAATTACATATATTACAAACACAAATAATTTTTCAATTTAAATATGTCTCAAGAGCATTTTTTATGGTTTCCTTATCTTCTTTCAATATAATGTGCCTTGGTAATAAAATAGAGAAGTATCTACATAACTATAAAGGGAAATCAATCCATATGGCTATGACAAAATAGAGAAGTATCTACATAACTATAAAGGGAAATCAATCCATATGGCTATGATAATATAGATTATTATCATAATATTTTGACTATGACAGGTAATTTCTAAAAATTAAAAAAGGATTTTATTTAAACACAATAATTTTTATAATTCACATGTTAATTTTCAGTAAATTATTGTTTCTCAATGGATAATTTGATCAATATCAATATCTCATAGCAATGGCAGATTGTTGTTATTATAAAAGAGCAGCATTTTTGAAATATTTATCATCTGCTGATATTTAGGCTTAACTACTCCCATAAGGCTGCATACCTATTAAACACTTTATAAAGGAAAAATGAAATTGTAAATGCTTGCAATATGATTTTTTCTTAATTAATATCATTAAATTATACAAAGCCTAGAGAGTGAAGTACATCTTACCAATTCATGAGAGACAGGGTCCTCTGTTTGCTACTTCTAGTATGTATTTAGTTGTCATTTCTACTAGAATTGAAAATACTGAAGTTCTGTTACTAGAAGGGGGTGTTTTGATTAGTAAAGATCATGGTTTCCATGGAACACTCAAATGATGAGGCTGTTTTATGGAGGAGGCAGATTGGATGACCCAGACTTCTCAACAGTCTGAAGAGCCCTGCTGGGCAGTCATTCCCTACATCTGGAGATGACAGAAACTATTTTTTTCTGGTCTTAGATAGTGCCTTCTGGTATCTGTGCACACACATGGAACAGAGATCCTGTCACCCTGAAAAATCCCGTCTCCCTGCACTCCAATCTCTTCAATGCACATTTATTTTCTTGAGTTTTTTTCTTAAATCCTCATGGGCTTGAAAGCATTACTAGGATTGAGTTTCTTAAGGTTCAGGATACAAAAATGGAGTAAAGCAAAAGCAAATTTTATTCTATCCTAACTGTTCATACTCCTTAATTTGTTGACATGTTTTCATTTGTTTTCAACCTTTAAAATCAAACTGCAGCTAGAAGCATACAAATACATTGTAAATATTAAGATATTAGCTAGTTCTTGCTCCTTTACACACTGCAGATTATGAGAAATTTATTTCATAATGGTAAAGGTTAAAATTGAAATGTCTCACATTATTCCACAAGTGACACAATATGGCAAAATTATTATTCTATAATAAATGTTATTATATTAAAAAGAGTTCTTTTAAAAGGTAATCTTCAATTTTTATAAGTTATTTAGAGTTTTTAGGGACACTAGAGGGTGTTAAAATATATTTCCCTAATACCGGAAGAGTACATTGCACTATAACTTTCTTGAGGCGAGAGTACAGTATGGAATGCAAATCAATACAAATTTAGTTTAAAAGGCTTATTTTAAGAATTTCATCAATTTTCTGCTTTCATAGAAAACTGAATGGAACAGTAGAAAAGCCCTATTATATTCATTTTCATAATTATTAAACAATTAAGAGAAGTCATTGGTATTTTCTTTTACAGTTGAGGAAACCATGGTTCAGACAGGTAAAATCTCACAAAATCACATAGCTTGAACTTACTGAATTTTGTATTTCAAAGACTACCAGTTACCTCTCGCTTTAATGAAAACAATGATGAGATGACATGAAAGTCCAGGGACTTTCACTGTATCAGTAAGATGTCATGCTTCCATATTGATTTCCTGTGTAAAATATGCAATTTCAAAAGGCTTTCAATTCTTATTAGTGGAAACTCCTCTTTAAAAATCCTACTAATTAGTCATAAATTCTCTGTCTAGGTCAATATCCAGTAACAAACTTGCACATGTACCCCCTGAATTTATAAGTATATATAGATATTTTTTTTTAAAAAAATCTTACTAATTAATGTGTTGCTTATCTCACTCCTGTCCTGTGACATTTCTCCCAATCCCACATGCCAGGATACATCATTCTAGCATTTCTGTGATCTTCCCTTGCTCTGAAAATATCTTTATTAAAAAATAGAATATTTCCTTTTTAGCAAAAATGTTATTTTTTAGATTCTGCAGTTGTCTTTTTTACTATTTTCTGAGCTCTAAGTTGTCTCTTTTTGTTTCTAGGATGGCACATCTCAGTATCTTTTGAGTTAAGACAATGATGGGTTTAAGGAATAGCCTTCTGTTTTGTAGCCACTCCATGAAATCTTGGGGCCTGACAATCCCTGGATAACAGGAAATCTTTATACATGTAGCTGGTTTAAAGGGACTTCCAATGAATACTTCTTTTTAAGTAGAAGGTTCTGAATTATCAGTAGATAAGACCAGTATAACCGTTAGAATCTTTGGGAGCACACCCGATTACATACTTGGACTTTAGTTTTTGACAGAGCCCTGAGCAACTGCTCACAAGGGAAAGCATATGTAGATTGAAGCTATGCAGAATGAAGTCTCAACAGCTGAAGCTTACTGGGGAACCAATGGTGCCCTAAATTAAGATAATTTATGAAATGTTGTAAGTCTATAACATTCTTCATGGAAGTCAGTTAGGGAATGGAAAGTTTTGAGATAGAGAGATATAATTATATAGCAATATGCAAAATATACAATAAATATATTCCAGTTGATTTTAGGCAGAAAATATGAAAATAGGATTTTCCTATCTTATTTACTGTTTTTTTTTTCTCCTATTCTAAGGCTTATTTTTTTAAATAAACATTTATACAAATGTAGTACCAGTTATGAGAAGAATCAAAAAATATTTGTTCAGATGCACCTATACAACCAATAGGGTTTTATATTTGTTCAGATACATCTATAAAACCAATACAATTTTTTTCCATTAGTAATTTTAAGCTCATATTTATAAATTTATTCATGCATTTGAGACAGTTAGATGTATCCTCAGCATTCAGATTTGTTCACTGATGTCTTGAAATATACTAAAATTTAAAGGCCTTACAAGATTAAGAAATTGGCAAGAAAATATAAGAAAATACAACCTGAATTCTTGAAATGTTAATCACGTTGTAAATTTATCCTCATCTTAAGCTTTTATTTCCACATAATATTTATAAATAACATAAACAATATTTTAGATATAACAAAATTATTAACAAATTAAGAATTAAATATTTTATCATTTACAATTCAATTAGGAAAAATGTGTTTACAGTAATCTCAGATTAAGAAAAAATATCGGTATTCAGATTTTGGCTTCTACCTTTGTGGTAATATAATATACATTTACATTATTCTTTATGCTGATAAGTTAAAACTCTAATTGCTGATACTACACAATCATGAACTGAAAACATGTGTTTGCTTAATGTCAAAATTACATATTTTAAAACAATTACAGTTGTTATTTAATTATCCCATACCTGGTATATGACCATTTATTCACCCTAAACTTGTACACTTCAAATATCTCTTTTTAAATGCTATATTTGTAGAATAATGAATAAATAATATTTTAGATAGATTTGTTAAACATTAATTCTACTTTCCTATATTTGCTCAATATCAAAACATTCTGCAAATATATGATAAAGGATTGGTTTCCAAGACAGTAGGTTGCTTGAAGAAACCATTTTAGATGTTAGGACTGCTATAAACTGAATTGTATTTCCCCACATTCATATGTTGAAGCCCTAACCCCCATTGTGATGGTATTTGGTGATGAGGTCTTTGGGAGGTAATTAGGTTTAGCTAAGGTTATGAGGGTGAGGAATTAATAATGAGATTGACATCCTATAAGAAGAGATCAGAGAGCTTGCTCTCTCTAGTTCCCTCTTTCTCAGCACCCTCACAAAGAAGTCATGTGAACATAGTAAGATGGTGGCCATATGCATGCCAGGAAAAGAGCCTTTACCAGAAAGCAACCATAATGGCACAATAATCTCACGCTCCCAGCCTCTGAAACTCTTAGAAAATAAATTCCTGGTATAAGCCACAAAATCTATGGTATTTTGCAATGGCAGACTAAAACAAAAACTTTTTCATAATTAAGAAGCCTTCTTTTATTAAAGAATCATGTTGCAAATATTCTGTACTCCCAGTGATGAATATGTATTACATTTCCTGTGAATAATGATGTGGGAATTTTGGTAATCGAAAAATTATATAGTGCATATTTTTATATATGAAACTCTAGGAGACTAAATGCATAGAATCTTCGTGTATGTATTTTCTTCTAAATGTATAACAGCTGGAAAATGATTAAATAAATAATAGTTCATTGATACACTAAAAAATATTTCATTAATTGGCATAAAAATATTTGTATGTCTATTAATTACCTAGGAAATTCTTACCATGTAATATTCACTGAGAAAATAAACTACTTGTCATTTGCTATTATTCATGTCAAGAATATAGTATGGACTGCTATTTTGTGTGTATATGGAGATTGTAGATATAGAGATTCTGTTTTATTTAATGGGTGAGTCACATTTCATTTTATCCAGCTACTCCTGTTTTGATGGATATTCAGTCTATTTCCAAATGGCCCACTATAATAATGCTTATACAATAATCCTTGTGTAGGTGGCATTACATACTTATATAATTACTTATATATTTTATTTTATGTGTTCATTTTTGTATTTATTTATTTATTTTAGATACAATTCTTGAAGTGGAAGTGTAGGTAAAAATAGGTACATTTTAATTTCCTACAGTGATTTGTAATTCAGATATTCAAAAGTCATTTTTTCTTTGCAATCATAGTTGTTTTAATTTTATCATAGTCTAAAAAATTTTTCTTTTACATATGATGTAGGAAACATGGGGTTTTCAATAAAATTGTGAAAGATAATGTTACAGTATTTTTTTTATAAAATTTGAACATCATGCAATACATTTAAACGTACTGAAAACTTTTTTGAGACTAGATTTTCTTTTCAGTTGTAAAGTAATGGCAAATAATTTGTTTTAAATATGGAAAATGTAAAGAAATAAATTCAGGCATACTTTCATTACCTAGAGAAACCACTCACATTTTAATATATTTTCTCCCTGAAAAAAGCCTATATCTGCATACGTGTATGTATAGATATAGCTGTTTATCAATTCTATGCATTATTTACATGACTGTGTTGTTTCTTTAACTATAAATATTTGCATTTTCTATGTCATCATAAATTCTTCAACAACATGTTTAACAGTCTCTTGGGTATGCCAGTTTGCTTATCCACTCTTGTTTGTTTGTTTGTTTTGTCTTTTGAGAAAGGGTCTCCCTCTGTTGCTGCCCAGGCTCCAGGCTGAAGTGCAGAGGCATGATCTTGGCTCACTGCCGCCTCCTCTTCCCAGGCTCAAGCGATCCTCCCACATTTGCCTCCTGAGTAGCTGAGACTACAGGCAAGTGCCATCATGCCCCACTAATTTTTGTACTTTTTGTAGAGATGAGGTTTTCCCACCCTGCCCAGGCTGGTCTTAAACTCCTGGGCTCAAGCGAGCTGCTTGCCTCGGCCTCCTTAAGTGCTGGGATTACAGGTGTGAGCCACTGTGCCCAGCCCTCTTCACAAAATTTCTAAGCAGCTTTCCAACTCGGTTGTTCTAGGTTAACTTCCCAATTGTAATCTCCAGGAATGAAAATTGCACTAAATCCTGTTCAAATACTTTTAAATAGATACAAGCCTTCATGTACTGTTGGGATGTCTTGGCTGACTCTCACAGGTATCTGTTCTCATCACACTCAATCTTTTTCAGGATCAGCTGTCATATTTGTCAATATCTTTTTTTCTTAAAGAAATTTATTTTCCTTATTTTCATCTTTTCTACCTGGCTGTTCATTCTAGATTATTTGCTGGCCCTCTTTGTCTGATTGACCTCCAAATATTGGAAGAGTTAAAGGTTCAGTTTTTGGCCTTTTTTGTTAAACTTCCAATAATTTCTCTTTAGGTCCAGTCCCATCTCTAGTGCTATAGTATTTCCTAAACTTTGGATTCTCATACAGAGCTTCCAGTAGACCTTTCCTGAGGATTACAAACTGAGCAGGTTCATACCATAACAATTAAGATTCAATCTTTCCCATTTTACCTAATGTCAACACTTCTGCGAAGTTTCCAATCTAAGACCTGGGTGTCATCCCTGATTTTCCACACACCAAGTCCATTGGCACAACTTGTTGGTTTACTTTTAATTTATATTCAAAATCTCATTACACTAAATCATTTTCACTTCCAACATTCAAGTCCCAGTTAACTTCAATATCCTTCTATGAACTGAAATAATGTATTCCCCTACCCCAGCCTTTTTCTGAAAGAAATAATCTAAAGCAGTACTGAGAATATTTTGTTATATATTTTGCCATCTATGTAATAGAAAATACGCTGAATGTTAAGCAAAATGCATCTATCATTTTCTTGCTACCATGACATTGGTTGAGAATGTGATTATCTTATACTATCTTGGTGTGTCTCCAAATATTAAGCCACTGGGCTTACTATTAGGTGCTAGATAAATATGTATTTTGTGCTGGCACAGAGTAGGCACTAAATAACAATTGCTTTCAAATGGGTAATGAAAAGACATTTTTCCCCATTAATTGATTATTAGGAGCACAAGCATCATCTGAAATAATTATTTAAACACAAATAAATTTTCAAGTGATCTTGAAGAATATGGGGTTTTGTTTTCTTTTCCAGTAAAGTTGCACTTGTCAGCTCTGGGTTTCTGTTATTCTGAGATCTCTTATAATTTGCTGAGAGAACAAATGAACTGTAATAATTATAATGCATTTTTTATAATTGGTGTCACACTTTTGCCTGGTAAACAATTACAATATCAACAAAATACTGAATGAATGATTTTGCCCCTTTGCTTTTTAGAACTGTGAGGATAACCTCTATATTTTCAAATGCCAAATATATGTTTATGTCATATTTTGGTGTCATGTACCACTGTGTTGGATATTATTTTTAATGTGGCTCATTGAAATGTCACATGTTATTTGTTTTCCTTTTCATTATATACGGAAAAATAGTCACAAAGTGGAGTAAAGATTATCACTGATCACTGCCTTTACCAATTTTCTTAAAAATGGAAATATAAAGTAAACACAGAATTCTGGAAAATAAGATATATTTTGATTATTGATTTTAACTTTTTAAGCTTTCACTGAAGTATGATACATATATACATTCACATATGAGTTTAACATTCACAGTCAGTTTTTACAGAGTTTTATATAACTGTGCAAAAGGCATCAAGATCACAAAGTAGACTATTATCACCACATTATAAGATCTCACCTTCCCATGACTCTCCTAGTTATTAACCCCCTCCCACAGGTTAACCACTATTTTGACTTTAAGCAAAATAGATTCATCTTGTTTGTTTTAGAAATTTACATAAGTGAAATTATATATTATGTTCTCTTGTACATATATTTTTCCACTAAATATTATGTGAATGATATTCCTTATTGTTGCACAAACTTGAAGATTGTTGTCATTGCTATACAGTATTTCATTGTTTGTATATAGTGTAATTTATTTTTCCATTCTACTGTTGACATACACTGGAGAAATTTCTAGTTTTTGGCTATTATAAATAGTTCTACTGTGAACACATATGTACTTTAAGGTGTACATACTAGAATAAAATATTTTTGTCATAGCATATGCATATGTTTAACTTTAGTATACACATTCAAACACCTTGCATACAGGTTGCACCACATTGTTCACCTACAAGTAGGGTATGAGAGTTCTGGTTTCTCTCGATCTTTGCTAACATTTGCTATTACATTATTATTATTATTATTATTATTATTATTTACTCTTTAGCTATCCTGCAGAGTGTAGCAGAATGAAGATGCATTGTAATTCTAATTTGTATTTATCTGATGATTATTAAAGTAAATAAACCACTTTTTTACGTACTTACTGGCCATTTGGGTATTCTTTTTGTGAAGTGTCCATTCAAATTTCTATCCATGTTTTAGCTTTTACAAATCTATTTAACATACGAAAAGAACATTAGCTTTGATGTCCTTTTCATTTATTAAATAGATTTGTAAAAGCTCTTTAGCTTTTGTTGTTTTTTTATTGCAAATATTTTTCCCAACCTGTGAGTTTCATTTTTTTATCTCTATTGATGATATATTTTGATAGAATTTCTTAGTTGAAATAGAATAACTTCATAGATATTTTTTAGCATTATGGTTAGTGTGAACACTAATTTCCATAAGCTGCACCTTAAATATTTTGAAATCTTCTTTATGAAAGTAATAAGCATTTGGACATAAAGGTCTATTTTATACCCTGAATCTTCACGCCTGTAATCCCAGCTACTCAGGAGGCTGAGACAAGAGAATTGCTTGAACGCGGGAGGCGGAGGTTGCAGTGAGCTGAGATCGCAACACTGCACACCAGCCTAGGCGGAAGAGCAAGATTCTGTCAAAAAAAAAAAAAAAAAAAAAATAGATCGACCTTAGGCAAGATCAGTTCATTTCCCCTTGCCTCAATTTCCACACTGTCAGATAGGGAAAAAAGGAAATAATGACTTTATTGAATTAAATTATAGAATAAAATAAGATATCTTATAATGGTGAAATGTTATTATAAAAACCAAAGCACAATACAAATATAATGATAAAGAGAACTATGCGATTTTCCATCTTTGGCACAATAGCCTGTATACTCAAATTTATGCCATGGCCATTAATCAATGTTCAGGTTGCAATACCTCTAACATAAATAATTGGAATAAAATCCCATTAATTACCTTACCTTAGTTATTTTCTATATAATCCCAATAAATTTAAATTTTATAGTAGTCACACAGTTCTTGTTTGGAGCCCACCATTTAAAATCAAGTGTCCTATAGTACATCAGTTAATATATTACCTATACACTATAAAGCATGCAACCATGAAGTATTTTCATTTTAAGAAATTATTTTTCAAATATTTTAATATAACATACATAAGTCAATAAGATTTGCCTGTTTATCTGTGCATACAATTAACGTTTATTGAAAATCTAAGTTATTATCAGTCAGGATAAACTTGATTATACTTCATAAAAAATAATTCTAGCCTTTTTGTGGAACAAAACATCTAAGTTATTTTTGATCAATAAAACTAAGAGTTGTTTAATTAAAAAACAAAGAATAAACAAAACTCACCAATCATTAGCTAGAGTAAGAAAAAAAAAGAGAGAGGACTTAAAATCAGAAATGAAAGAGGAGACATTACAGTTATAGCACCGACATACAAAGGATCAGAAGAGACTACTATGTACAATTATATGCCAACAAATTAGACAACCTAGAAGAAATAGATAACTTCCTAGACACATACAACAAACAAGACCGAATCATGAAGAAATACCAAATCTGAACAGGCCAATGAAAAGTACGATTGAACCCGTTATGAAAAGTCTCTCATCAAAGAAAAGGCCAGGACCTCTTGGCTTCTCATGTTCTATCAAACATTTAAAAAAACAGAACCAATTATTTACAAACTCTTCTAAAAACATCAAAGAAAAACTGTTTTTTCCAAACTCTTTTTATGAGATCAGCACATGCTGATACTAAAGGAAAATAAGAATGCTATAAGAAAAAAAAATTACAGCCAATATTCTTGATGAACATAGATGCAAAATTCTCAACAGAATACCAGCAAACTAAATTAAAAAACAAAATAAAAGAATCACTGATTATGACCAAATGGAATTTACCCCTGGGCTGCAAGAAAGGTTCAATATACACATATCAATAAATGTGATACATCACATTAACAGAATAAAAGACAAAAATGATATGATCCCCTCATTACATGTAGAAAAAACATTTGACGATATTCTACATACTTTTAGGAAAAAAAATTCTCTACAAATTAGCTATAGAAGGAGTGTACCTCAACAAAATAAAGACTACAGATCATAAGCCCACAGCTAACATTATGCTCAATGATGTAAAATTGAGAGCCTTCCTCTGAAATCTGAAACAAAACAAGTATGCCCACTCTCAGTATTCCCATTCAACGCAGTATTACAAGCCCTTGACAGAGCAATTAGGCAAGAGAAGGAAATAAAATGCATCAAAATACCAAAGAAAAACATAAAATAGTTGTTGTTTTCTGACAACATGATCTTATACATAGAAAACTCTAAAGATCCCACCAAAAAACCATTAGAACTAACAAATAATATGGTAATGTTACAGCCTTGACTTTGAATTACCAAATATTGTCAACACACAAAACAAGTAGCATTTTTATACACTAACAACTAAATTTTTAAAAAAGAGAACAATCCCATTTATAATGATTATAAAAATGGAACACTTAGGGATAAATATAACCAGGGTGAGTGAAAGACTTGTACAATGAAAACTATAAAACATTAATGAAAGAAATTGAAGAAGATATAAATAAATGCAAAGACATCATATGTTCATGAATAGAAAGAATAAATATTGTTAAAATGCCCATATTACCCGAAGTGAACTACAGATTCAGTGCGACTCTTACCAAAAGTCCCATGACTTTTTTTTATATAAAAATAGAAAAGGCAATTCTAAAATTCCTATGGAATCACATAAACCTCCAGAAAGGACAGTTTCCTCAATAAATAGTGTTGGGAAAACTGGATATTCATATTCAGAAAAATGAAATTGGACTCTTATCTCACACCAAATACAAAAATCAAGTCAAATTGGATTAAGGACTTAAACGTAAGGCATGAAATTATAAAATGACTAGAAAAAAATATAAAGGAAACACTACAAAACATTTGTCTGGGGAATTAATTTTTAGATTTGACCCCTAAAGTGCATACAACAAAATCAAAGATAGACAAATGGTATTTCATCAAAATAAAAAGATTTTGAACAACAGAGATGACAATTAACGGAGTGAAGAGGCAACATTTAGGCTGGCAGAAGCTATCTGCAAGCCATATATCTGACAAGGGGTACATATCCAAACTATGGTAGTAACTCAAATGAGCCTATATAAAGAAAACAAATAATAAAACACCGCATGTTCTCACTCATAGGTGGGAATTGAACAATGAGAACACATGGACACAGGAAGGGGAACATCACACACCGGGGACTGTTGTGGGGTGGGGGGAGGGGGGAGGGATAGCATTAGGTGATATACCTAATGCTAAATGACGAGTTAATGGGTGCAGCACACCAACATGGCACATGTATACACATGTAACAAACTTTCACGTTGCGCTCATGTACCCTAAAACTTAAAGTATAATAATAATAATAATAATAAAAGAAAACAGGCAAGAGACCTGAATAAACATTTCTCAAAAGAAGACATACATATAGTCAACATACATATGAAATAATGCTCAACATCACTAATCATTAAGGAAATACAAACTAAAACTACAATGAGACGTCACTGGAAATCTCCCAGAAGGGCTATTATCAAAAAAAATGAAAGCTAACAAATGCTAGTAAGCCATTATGAAAACTGTATGGAAGTTCCTCAAAAAATTACAAATAAAATGACTATATTATCCTGCTATCCCACTTCTGGATACTTACCACCACAAAATTGAAATCAGTATGTCAAAAAGATGTCTGCATTCCTATGTTCATTGCAGCACTATTCATAAAAGGCAAATTATGGAATCAGAATCCACCTAACAGTTTATCAACAGATGAATGGATAAAGTGGTACATATACACAATGGAATACTATTTAGCCTTTATAAAAATAAATAAAAAATTAATTCTGTAATTTTTATGTCAATTTATTCTGTAAAAAGTATTTTATGTCAATATATTTTATAAAAATTAATTCTGTCAATTGCAACAACTTGAATGGAATTGGAGGATGTTAATCTTAGTGAATTAAGTTTGGCACAACAGGAAAAATTCTCACATATGTGGAATTAAAAATAATCAAATTTATAGAAGCAGAGAGTAGGGTGATGATTACGAGAGGCTAGGGAGTGAGGGGAATAGGAAGATGATGGCCAAGGGGTACAAAGTTTTTGTTAGAAGAGGTAACAGGTGTTTTTTTGTGATTTATTTCCACAATGTGGTGAATACAGTTAATAATAGCATTTTGTACATTTAAAAATCACGAAGAGTAAATTTCAAATGTTCTCACCATAAAAATAATAAGCATTTGAGATGATATATAATTAGCTTAATTATTCCACATTATATTCATAAATCATAATGTAAGTTTTTACTCAATAAATCTATACAACCATAATTTGTCAATTATCAAAAAAATTAAAAAGGAAATTTATTAACAAAAAAGTTATTTTTAATTCATGCTATGTATTCATCTCAACTGAGTTGTAGTCTCTAACTCATGTTTTCCTGAATCTAGGCTACAAGATAAACTGCCACCTAGAGCATTGCTAGTTGCTGTGGAAAGATAATAGTGTTCTGAAGAGTCTCTTTTCAGAAAAGGTCTGTCAAAGAAGTGATGTAGGATTTTTTTGTTCACAAGTCATTGATCATTACTAGTAACATGGCCCCACACAACCCAAAAAGCCCAAAGAGGGTAGGGAAGTGTAGTCTTATCACAGGACTGAAAGGTGAAGAGCTGGGATATCTGATTTAAAAAAGCAATTGTGATTATTGCTATTCTGTATAAACAATATAAGTTTCTAAGGCATACAAAAATAAAATAGACATGACTTGTGTCTATACAGTGACAAACATAAAAATACACTCCTCTGAGATGCATGCAATAAGAGTTGAGTGACTACACAAAGAAAGCGTAAAAACCTCTGCTTCGATGAGCCTGGAAAAGTTTCAGAAAGAGAGAACTATTAGATCTGGGTCTTGAAGCATAAATAAGAGTTCAACAAGAAAAATAAAATGGGGATGGATAATTGTTAAAAAACAAGGCTTCTGCACAGAAAACAGAACTAATCAACAGAGTAAATACACAACCTACAGAACGGAAGAAAATCCTCACTAACTACATATCTGACCAAGGAATAATATACGAAATCTACATGGAACTCAAGCATATCAGCAAGAATGAAAAACACATAACCCCATTAAAAAGTGAGCAAACGACATGAATAGACATTTCTCAAAGGGAGATAAATAAATGGCCCACAAACATAAAAAAATGCTCAACATTACTAATCAGGAAAACGCAAATCAAAGTCACAATGAAGGCTAGGTGTGGTGGCTCATGACTGTAATCTCAGTACTTTGGAAGGCCATAGTGGGAGAACCACTTGAAGTCAGAAGTTTGAGACCAGCCTGGGAAACACAGAAAGACCTTGTCTCTACAAAAAAATAAACAATAAAAAAATCAGTGGGTGTAGTGGCATGTGCCGGAAATCCCAGCTATTCAGGAGGCTAAAGCGGGAGTATCACTTGAACCCAGGAGTTTGAAGCCATGTTTTTGCCACTTAACTCCAGCCTGTGCAACAGAGAAGACTTTGTCTAAAAAAAAAAACTCCAAACAAACAAACAACAAAAACAAACAAATAAAAAACCACTAAACTGAAAACTAAAACTAAAGATAAAACCACAATGACATACCACCTGACCCCAGTCAGAATGGCCAGTTTTAAAAAGTCAGGAAACAGTAGATATTGGTTATTGGTGCGAATGTGGTGAAAATGAAACACTTATACATGCTGGTGGAAATGTAAATGAGCACAACATCTACGGAAAATAGTATGGAAATTTCTCAAGTAACAAAGAGTAGATCAACGTTCGATTGAGCTATTCGATTATTGGGTATCTACCCAAAGGAAAAGAAGTAATTATGTCAAACAGACACTTTTACTCATTTGTTTATCACAGCACAATTCACAATTGCAAAGACATGGAATCAAATTTTCTATCAACAGATAAGTGGATAAAGAAAATGTAGTATATACACACCCCAGAATACTACTACACCATAAAAAAATGAAATAATGTCTTTTGCAGCAACTTGGATGGAACTGGAAGCCGTTGTCCTAAGTGAAGTAACTCAGAAATGAAAAACCAAATACCACATGTTCTCACTTATAAGCGAGAGCTAAGCTTTGGGTACACATAGGCATGCAGAGTGGTATAATGAACACTGGAGACTCAGAAGTGTGCAGTGTGGGAGGAAGGCAAGGGATAAAAAAAATCACCTATCAGATGCAATGTAATGTAAAGTATTCTTATACACTAAATATTTTTAATGCTGTGCTTCTGTGACCAAATAGCACTGATCTATATATTCAATATATATATATATCGAGAATAGATCAGTGGCATTTGGACACAGGGACAAAGCATTAGGGTTGTGAGGAGCAGCAGGAGGGAGTTTATAAAAAGCCATGAGAAAACTTTTCAGTGATTATCTTGAATGTGGTAATGATTTCAGAAGTGTATACATATCAAATTTATCAAATTATATTCATTAAAGATGCAATATTTAGTGTATATCAACTATAATTAAATAAAGTTTAAAATACTGAAGCAGTATACACATTAGGAGAGAAGCTAATTTCAAGGATAAGATTTGATTTTACTTCTAAGATTCTCTTGAAATTGTGTAAATGATGTATAGGGGAAAATGGAGGAGCATAGTTTAGAGAGGAAAGAGAGTTTATTAAATATACTGAGCTAGAGTTAGAGGTTATATGGAACATGCAGGAAGAGATGACTTGTAGGAAGTTTTACAGTATATTTGTAATGCAGAAGAATATTGTAGTATAAAATGTATTTGGAGGCCAATACAGTAGCCAGCAGAGAACACCATAGTATTTATGAAGCCATAGTATTTGTGAGAGTTACGTGATTCAACATGAATCAGGGGAAGGATGGATCTCTGAGAAAATTCCTATGGAAAGGAGGATTACAAAAGAGGATTAGTCAGGAAGATATGAGA
Source organism: Homo sapiens (assembly GCF_000001405.40). Lineage (NCBI taxonomy): Eukaryota > Metazoa > Chordata > Mammalia > Primates > Hominidae > Homo > Homo sapiens. The sequence continues at coordinate 67,418 of NT_187554.1, read as the reverse complement.
CCATTAAAGAGGAAAAAGACGAACAGATTAAAGTTACACCAAGTCCAAAGGTAAAACATGCAACATACTCTCAGGAGATTAAACAAAGTTGAAGGTACATATGAAAGGATGACAAAAAGGAAAAACGACAACATTTCTCTGAGAATCCAGTAAGTTATGTATACACACAGACAATTTTTAGACTTAGGGATGTTAAATTCAAGAAATTCACACGTGATAATCTAAATTTACTCAGTGTAATTTTAGAAAGCAAGATGAAAAGCAAGAAGGAAGGATGTTTGTCCACACATGACTAGTATAATAAATATAACAAATAACAAATAGTACATAGTTGTACAAGAGACATTCAAGTCATTTAATCAAAAAATTATGAATGCCTCAGGGCCTTGCCTATCTTATTATAATACTAAAATAATGAAAATATTTCCCATCATTTCTCTTGAACTGTTGTGACACATTCCATTTGTCAATTAGAAAATATACAATAATGAAATTATTCGTGAAGTAGTTAACCCACAAAGAGTTTTTTTCTGGCCCCCTGGTTCATATTTCTTGACAAAATTTGGATAGAGATCAGGGTTGAAAAAATGTAGAATGTTAGGAAAAATTCATGCTGTAGAGAAATGTAAGGTGGTTGTATTAGAACGTGGCTCATTACTGTCATAGGGAAATATAATTATTTTTGCCAATCTGAGATATAGGTAAGTCACTTAAATTTCAGGGGTGAGGGACTTGCCATGTTGTTCATTAAAATAAATCAAGTCTCCCATTTTAATTGAAAACTGCAGTTTAGCTGATAAAATAATAGATGACTTGGTAAGTATAATCAATTTTAATTAAGAATATTTCATACAATTAATCTTTGATTCAGTTTTTCTTTGTTTTACATTGTTGTTGTTGTTGTTTTTTAATAGGGATGGCTGGTTACCTGCATTTACTAAATAATAGGAATAGCTAATAACTATTCTCAATCATTTTTTCAAGTCATGGAATGTTATAATTAAGAATTTATGGAATAGAAAACCCAACTGATCCAGGTATCAGTGTTTCTCTTACACAATTCTCTTCTTGCATATGCCATTGATAGCAGACAATTGCGTCTTTTTTACTGTTTGATATAAAGTAATATTGATTTGTTTCTTTACTTCATTATTCTAATGCTAGCCTCTGGCTATTGATTTGTGTCAGCAAAGTCTTGAGATGTAGAAAGAAAAAACAAATCAGCTAGCTGACTACAAATAAATGTCCAGCTAAGGTCTACGGATTGGAAAAATACAAAAAACAAATAACAAAATAACTCATATTTGAACACTTAAGCTTTGCCTAGTACTATGCTAAGCACTTTCTACTTAATAATTAAGACATTGTATAAACCAGGTTTTATGAACATCTGTAATTTTCAGATTATTGAGAATCAGAGTAGCTAACTGAGGCACAATGACACACTTAAAAAGTAGTAAAAGTAAGATATGTATATATGTATATATTCTTAAAAACAACATAGTATCTCTATTACTTTATGAAATTTGAATTGAAAAATATTATCCTTACATATAAGGTCCAGCCTGCACACATGCAATTAGGTTGTGGTTATTTCCATCCCCAAAAGATTTTTGTCATAAAAAAGAATTCTCTGATAATGATCATTTTCTCTTTCACAAGATATGATAACAGCTAGTGATAAAAAGCTTGTTTAAAATAGTCGTTATTTTAAACTTCTAGAGCTGAACAGACTTGGAATCCTGCTCTCAGTAGGATTTTATCTCATGAGCCGTATGTAACTTAACCCCTCTGAATTTTATTTTTCAACTGGAAAATGAAGTAATAATAATACCTATCTCATTTTCAATGAGAAAAGCATGGGAAATGGTTGATAAAGTGACTGGCATATACTACACCTGAAATAATGTAATTAAACTCTTTATTACCACCACCACCATCATTATTATTGTCATCATCATCATTTAGATCTGTGTAAACCAATCTTTTCAGAAAGATAGCTGTTATGTACATTCAGTACACCAATGCAAGCTAATAATAGAGTTATCATTTGCAAACTAGCTTAAATGCACAGGGTGGCACAGAGATTTTTTCTTGCTCTAAATAAATATAAAAATGCAAGGGGCATATTTACTATAGTTATTCAAATTTTAAGTATAACTTCAAGCTGAATGTGATGACATATGCCTGTAATCCCACCTATTTGGGAGACTGAGGCAGGAGGATCACTTGAGCCCAGGAGTTTGAGGCACTTGAGGCCAGGTATTTGAGTCCATCCTGGGTAATATAATGAGACTCCATCTCTACACACACACATTCAAACTACATTTTATGTGTGTGTGTGTGTATATATGTATATATGTCACACATATAGTATATAGATATATCTATATATACCATATGTATAAGTATGCACATATACATATACATAAATATATATGTGTGAGACAGACAATGAAGCTCACAAATTGCTAATAAACTTCTGAAGAGATTCTTATTTCATATATACTACATATATACATATATTTATATAGAACTATATTTTATACACATATATGTTGTATATATACAAAATGTACATATACATATATAAAACAATATTTTATATATTTAGTATATGTATGAAATATAGCTTTGTACATATGTATACACATACGCATTCAAGGCAACATTTTTAGTGGTTCAGAAAACATAAAGCATAATTAAAAGTTATAAATAATATTAAAAATATTAATAATTGAGAACTCCCAGCTTGATGGAGATAGGTTATTCCACCATTCATTTCTATTTCTATGGAGATATTATGTAATTAATATATCAACCACAGTGCAGATGGCTTATGGAAAACCTTTCTGAGAACACCTTGATTTTACTGATTCAATCTTTTTCAACATTATCTCAACCAATCAAGGAGATTGATAATAAGACACAAAAATCACTCTAAAGTCAGTCTAATTTGGTCAATAGGCTGTAAGTAAAAAACAAACAAAGAATATTTCTTTTATTCCCTCAAGAAATAGAAACTTCTTCAGAAGAGTTTATTATTGATTGGTAAATTTCATTATCCCTCTTACGTTTAAATTATGCTTAAAAAATGAATAACTATGGTGATTTTGTCCTTTCCATTTTTACATTTCCATATGTAGTTGTATACCTATATACACACATATATGTGTATGTTATACACACAGACACAGACACATACACACATACATATAGATATATCTCTGGATATATCTATATATCTACACACCATATCAGGAAATATAATTAGATTACAACTTTTAATGTTTTGTATTAGAATGTGACCTCATGCCATGCATTTGATTGGATGACTTCAAGCCATGCATTTCATAAACTAAGCACATGAGGGCACATGGCACTAAGCAATGGAATCCTTTCGTAGCAAGTTTTTTGACCAGAAAGAGATCATGAGCTCAAAGGTAAAAATGAAATAAAATATTGGAAATTGAGACTTTTCCTTCAAATATCAAATTGCAGTCCAAATAAATACAATCTGTTCTGTTGATTAAAACTTATTGCTATTTAGCATCACTTGTGTTGGATAGAAGGAAAACATTTTCAGAGCTTTCATCTATATTTATATTTATCTGCTTTTCAGACTGGTACAACTTAGACTAGACAGAAATCCTATGACTTTCTGACATTTTGCTTAATTGAGGTCAGAAGAAAACAACAGCATTCAATTGCTGGGTTTACAGAAAAGGTAGAAGAATTGAATAACATTTTAATGATTTAAATTAAATTCTACCATTTTAAGATGTCTAGTGTCAAATTTTGGATACAGTAAAAGTTCAATAAATATTTGTTAAATCAAAAACAATTAAATTACATTAACTTAAAGTATTATTTGGCAATTATTTTTTCAAAATTTCAAGATATGACATTCACCTTCTAAAAATAAAAATGAAGGGAGTTATTCAAGTTATGAGATGTAAATTTTTGTTAACGTTTGAAAATTGCCTGTAGTTTTCACATTAAAAATATTTTAGAGTGTGAAAAAAGTGAAAATATATACACATACAAAACTAAGTCCCTGTGCATTATGTTTAATAATACATAGGTATATAAAGTAGTTATAAATAGCTTAATTATGAACTGGACATTTGAAATGTTGCTTTCCCCAAGGGCACAAATATGGATTAATTTGCTTAGAGACAGTTTTATATACATTTTCAAAAGTGTTTAAGCTGTTTTGTTCTGAAACCATAGCTAAAAACAAATAAGACTGCCTTTCATCAGGTGATCTTCAATATCTAATTCTTTCACATTTGTGAAAGAAAATTAGAATAAGAGACTTGGAGAGAGCACTGGCCCCTCATCCCCAACTGAATTCCATTATTCCCACAGAGAAATTCTAGGATGTTTCCTTAAGTTTTATCAGTTCCTGTTTTCAATGGTTTTGTGCTGATGGAGAAAAAGTATGAATAGTTACAGTTTAGTTCAAGAATGACCAATGTATTCTCTTGCATTTTCTAACTTTGGTCTTGTGTAGTAATTGAATTTCCACTCTATTCAAAACAAATTTAAGACTCTATTGTGGCTCAGTTTGACTAATTTTGATGGATCAGTGATGAATGTTATGGGCAACTGTGGGAAGAGGTAGTACCAAAATATGCAACAGGCTATCTTTGATCTCTTTTGTGTAGACTGCTCAGAGCTTCTAGGTATACTTTTCTCAAATATAATGATCCCTAAATTAAGAGAAACGGTATGGAAACAACCATCTGTCTCTACTACTATTGATATATCTTGAATACTCAGTATGGTGCACAGATAATGCTTAAGAAACCCAGTAATTACGTTTTAACTCAACTTCTTACTAGATACACATCCTAGGCTGATTGATATTATTAAATCCTCATAATCAATATAGTAGCAAGTAACTATGATTATGAAATTATTTAAATAATCCATACATTAAACATTTATTATTTCAATATTTGTATATAATAAAATCTAAATAAATATTAGTTATCATCATTTTCATTATACTGATTGTACTACTGACCATTTGCTTATATGTGTAGAAAATAACTACCCTCATCAGTCTCTTGGAAAATAAATATGTCAATCATATACACATATATAAATTTTTTTGTTAATGAACAAATGAGTCCAAATATATATACATTTTCTCATGAGTTTAAAAAATATTATTTAGATATTATTTAAATATTATTTAAGTATTATAATGACAATATCTGTAAAGGATGCCATTAAGACTTCTAAATTTCAATTTTTTAAAGATTTTTTGATTCTATATTAAATTTATTGTTTAAAAATGGGAATAAAATAATATTTTCATACATATTTTATGATTCAACAATACAGTACATAATGATAGGTGACCTAACAAGTACCTGAATATTGCCAATATTATTAAAAGTAGAATTTCAATAAGTTGCTATCATTTAAAATCTATTGAATACCTTTAGTTAGCAAGATTCTGTGACTAGAATAGGAGTTTATAAATAGTTGAATCATAGGAGTTTAGAATCATAGAGGTTTATAAATAATTGACTTTTAAAATTCCAAATACATTTTTAAGAAAGCCTGGATTCAGATATACAGTTATGCACTCAAGATCGTCCAGGATTTCTCAAAAAAAATTTTTTCTCTATTTCTCCGCTTTGGGAAAGTACTACTATTAAATTGAAAATTTGTAGAAAGCTAATTGGTATTAAAGCTTGATTCCTTGGGAAAGGCATGGTTAAAGAGGGTAAAATATAACTCTATATTCAAATGTAGGCATAGCTTGTTACTAGCCTATGATACCAGGCAAAACAATACTATTTTCTGCCCCAATTATCTTACATTTAATAGGATGTCATAGTATTTAATTTCCAGGTCTATTGTAGGAACTAAATAGAAGAGTGCATGCATATAGCCTAACATATTAATCTTTCATAACTCCTGAGATTACTTCATAATTCTTTTTGTATTTCTATAATTAAATTAGAATTTTTTTTTCTCATCATAAGGGGGAGGAGGTAAAGTAAGCTGTCTAATGACCAGTTTGATATATCCAAAATCTACTTTTTAAAAGGCACATTGGGTCATGCCAATCTCCTGCCAAAAGCCTTGCAAAGTCTTCTTAAAATCAATAAAATATTTTATTGTTGTTAACCTGGGTCAATATTATCTATCCTTTAACCATTTGTTCATAAATATTGCATATTTTGCACCCCCGTTTGGGTGGCTCCAATATTTTTCACCTCCCACCCTTGTATAGTCCCTTTTCTTACAGTGTTGACAGGATTGGTGACTTCCTTCTCACCAATAGAATATGACAAAGATGATGGAATATGAACCTTTCGATTCTGTTATGCTAATTAAAGCTTCATCTTGTTTTCTCACTTAAAGTATTTTTATTCTAGATGACTTTAAAGAAGCAAGCTTCAGTGAATCTTACATTTCCAAGAAAATAAATCCTGCAAAAAACCTGAGTGAGCTTAAAAGTGGACCCTTCCCCAATTCAGTCGACAGGAGATAACTCAGTCCTGGTCAAAAACTTTACTGCAGTCTCACAGAGGACCCAGATAAGCTCTTCCAGGACTTCTGACTCACAGAAACTATTAAACAATAACTGTATTTTTTTTAAATTCACTAAGTTTGTGGTAATTTGTTACATCACCTAAAGAATCAACACAACTTGTTTACTAGCAAGACTGCTTTTCTTTCAGTTCCTTCAACATGACAAGCTTGTGTGCTTGTCAGCTTTTAACTCGACTCTACCAATTCCTACCAGTCCCAAACCTGCTGCTATTACCGATTCTCATTATTCTTCTTATGTTCTTCATCATCCTAACATATTTAAAGTTAATTTACTTTGAAACATTTATTATCTGACTTGTAGTTCCTATGTTTTCCGTGAATTTTGCTACATCCCAAGAATCCTATGTCCAGCTAGGAAGGGCAAAGGCTCAGTGTTACTCTGTAGAGTGCAGTTATATCTATGCAATTCCAATTGTCTTGTAATTCGTATAATTGAAGCTCATGCTTGAAGATTTATTCAGCAAAATAATGTGTTTCATATATCCATAAATAACAAATTACTGTGTATTAAGGCAAGATAAAATGGCATCAATTATCAGAGTATGTAATCATAAAATGTACAGCCCTATTAAAGAAAATGGTGATTAAATATAAAATAAAACGCCAAATGAACAGCTACATGGAGACTTTAGAATTCTTCTTTATGAAAAAAATGTGTAATAATTAAATTTTTAGACATAAATCTGGAAATAGATTTTCTCAAAGATCATGAGGCCTAAACTACATACTACCTACCAATATGTAATGTAGGTCATCTTCAAAAATTGTTATGAATTCAAATCTTGAATAACTTGTTTGATTCATTTTGGGTATATATTTGAATTATTTAAACTACGGAAATAGAAAGAGGCACAAACATTCACATACAGAGAACATACTCAATCAAAGCATAATCGTTTCACAAAGGTTAACCCAGAATTTTGTGATAAAATGAAAAGTGATATTCTCTTAAGATTTGGGAGAAAAAAAATACCCAAACCTTCCTAACAGATTAAATCAAACACATTCAGAAAAAAAAAAAACTGACCACTTAAATAACAAGTTAAAAGATGGAAGCTAATGTGATCACGATGGAGGTATCTCCCAGATAAAATCTGGAATTATTGTACGAACTTCATGCCTAGGAATGCATTATGAGAATTTAAAGCAAAATGAAAGAAAGCCAAATAATTCAATATTTTGAAGTTAGGTGACTGATATAAAAAACCTAAGTTGTTATTATTTAGTATTGCAAAAAATATTCATTAAATAAATTATCCTCTACTGAATTAATCTCATTAATTTGTTCAAGTTTTAAACTTTTCAAGCCACATAAAAATATTTGGTATTGATAAAATGATCAATAAATATTTAATTAAATTACTGCTAATTTTATATCTCCTTGTAACCTTTCAAGAGATACGAATCACTGGAAAGTTGGCAAAAGCATCCCATTCTTCAGTTAAATTTGCATGTCACCATAAAAAAATAATGTGCTTGATAGTGTATTGAATTCCTGTACTTTTAGTTAGTATGAGTTAGTCCTCTATAGTAACAATCTCTGATCCATTGTCACTAGTGGATTTATTGACCTAAAAATATGGGAACAGACTCTGTATTTTATTTTTGCAAGATACATCATCAGCACAGTACTCTGTAGCTCTAAGTGATCTCTCATTTGAAGCTTCCTTTGTGGGCTTTGTATTTTACAGGATATACATATGCATACATATATAGTATAAATACATACACATATATAATATACACATATACATATATACACTTGTGGAAAAAATAATAAAATCAGAACAATACAGGGTAAGAAATGACTGATTTTCTCATATATAAATTTCATAATCTAGCTAATCTACTAGTCTATTTGATGGTAAATAGAGATCAGCTTTTGTTTAGAAGAAACAAACATAGAGCTAAATTGAATTCCTTAAAAGTAAAATTATTTTTAGTTAATACAAGCTTACCTTTAGCCATTCTTCAAATTGACTGGAACAAATCCAAGCATTAAAAATGTACATACCAAGTATTTTTAATTCTGTTCTTTAAAATAGCTTTCATATCTACTTGGCCACAAATGCAAGATGTTCCTATTGATAGTATGTCTGCTTTATTTCGCCACTTGAAAGAGTGTAATTAAGGTGGAGGATATGAAATTTAGGGAATAAAAATCAATAGTATATCATACAATAATGTATATTTGTTTCAATGTATTTGCAATAAATATTGCATCTATATCTGCTATGTATATATACATATATACATATACACAATATATTTATGTTAAGAGTGTGAATTTGAATTCTTCCTTAGTCTCTGCTGATTTTTGATGTGGGAAAGTTAATTTGCCTTACTAATCCTGAATCTTTTCAAATTTAACACACAGAATCCTATTCACCTTATAAAGTTATTTTGAGGATCAAATGATCAAATAAACTAAATGGGTAGGATATTGCTATTATTAGTCCAATGTCAGCCTGCCAGCAATTTATAGTTTTTTATTTTGTATATATTTGCATTTGTTTTCAAGTCATGAATATTTAAATACAGCATATTAAATAAAATCAATATTAAAAAGTTTATTTTGCTTATTTCTAATGCCATGCGTTTCAATGCTTACCTTTAAAAAAACAAGTCCTTAGGGCAGAAAATGTATAGTACAAATTTAATTCTGTTTCAATGTTACACAATTGTAAATAAGGCAACATTTTTTTTTTTTCTCTAAAGAGAAGCAACATTTTCCCAGTGGCAGAAAAGCCTTTCTCTCACCTGCCAAAAACAACTTCCTTGCCCCCGTTATTCCTCTAACTTCTATTTATTTATTTATTTATTTTTTTATTTTTTTAAATTATACTTTAAGTTTTAGGGTACATGTGCACATGTATTCCTCTAACTTCTAAAGGCAAGTTTGGAGACTACATGAGTTATTATGTTCTTCTATTCTGTGAGTTACATACAACATATGCTTGCCTGAGGAGATTTCCAAACCTTGGTTATTATTAATGTAACAATTTAGGGCATAAGCAGCCCAGAGCATAAACCCTGTCTTCATGGGCTGCACTGCATCTTCTCATTAAACATGGAGAAACTTCATCTTCCATTCAATTACAGATGCCTAAATAATATGTTTTCCCCTGGCAAGCTAAGCTTCATAAGTATTAAAGAGGGAAAATAAAAGTTATCTTATCTTTCTAAATAGCATTAATTTCTTACATTTCAGTCACAAAATGCTGTCAACCAGCTAAAAGTGTGTAAGTGACTCACTGGTCAAGGAGATAGCACAATTGTCTTTTGAGAAATTGTGCATGATTTAAAACTCATGATCTGAAATAAAACATGAATCCCTAAGGATTATTGGAGGGCTTATCTGTAACAGCTCACACAAAGCAATATATTGTTGGTTATGTACTCTTTGAGCAGGCAGGCTTATTCCAGGGTCTTGGCCACTCCTGGTTTTTATACATTATTACCTCTTCAGGGAACGAGATACCTATCTAGAGTCATAAAGATGCCATTAAGAAGACAGTATCTGGGGTTGTGGTTAGTAAGCTACTGTCTCTCTGAATTCACACTTTTTCAAGCTCAGCTGAACTCTCACAAAATCTAGACAATTACTTTATTCATCTTTTTTTTTTTTTTTTGCCTCCTCTACCACATATCCCATGAAACCTATCTAGAACCCTTCCCACTTATCTAGTACACTTAAACATACCTTTCCTAGCAGACGAAGGCCATTTCTCAGCTTTCAAAACTACAGCTCTGGAAGATTAGGGAAGGAAGGGGAGAAATTAACATTTTTTGAAAGTCTATTATTATAAGGTTAAAATAACTATGGATATTAGTATAATTTTTCTAGCTTATGGATGAGAATATTTGACCTGGAGAAATCAAGTGGGTATTTGAGGATTGCACACACGTAGTGAATTAGAGTACAAATTCTAAGTCAACTTGGTCTAATGCCAATGTCTAAGCTGCCTTCCAAAAAGCACAGCTTTTTTGAGTTCAATTGTTTTGGTTTTTAGATCCCACAAATAAGAGAGAACATTCAATGTTTGTCTTTCTGTGCCTGACTTATTTCATTTAACATAATGATCTCCAGTTCCATCCATATTGTTGCAAAGGACAGAATCTCATTTTTTTATGGCTGAAAAGTACTCCATTGTGTATATGTACGACATTTTAAAAAATCCATTTATCTGTTGATATACACATAGGTTTCTTCCAAATCTTAGCTATTGTAAACAGTATTTCAACAAGCATAGGAGTGCACATATCTCTTTGATGCACTGATTTCCCTTTTTGGGGGGTTAATACTCAGCAGTGACACTGCCACATCTTATGGTAGCTAAATTTGTAGCTTTTTGAGGAACTTCCAAACTGTTCTCCATAATGGTTGTACTAATTTACGTTCCTTCCAATATTATATGAGGCTTCCTTTTTCTCCACATCCTCACTAGCACTTGTTGCTTTTCTTTTGGATCCAAACTATCTTAATTGGGGTGAGATTACATCTCATTGTAGTTTTGATTTGCATTTATCTGGTGATCAATGATTTTGAGCACTTTTTCATATGCTTGTTTGCCATTCATATGTCTTTTGAGAAATGTCTATTCAAATCTTTTGGCCATTATTTAAATTGAATTATTAGATTTTATCCTAAAGTTGTTTGAACTCCTTATACAATTATTAATCCCTTCTCAGAGGGATAGTTTGCAAATATTTTCTTCCACTCTCTGGATTGTCTCTTCACTTTGTTGATTGTATTCTTTGCTGTGCAGAAGCTTTCTAACTTGATGTAATCCCATTTGTCCATGTTTGCTTTGGTTGCCTGAGCTTATGGGTTATTGCTCAAGAAATCTTCGCCCTTACCAATGTCCTGGCAAATTTCCCCAATGTTTCCTGGTAGTTAATTTCATGGTTTCCGGTCTTAGATATAAGTCTTTAATCCATTTTGATTTGATTTTTGACTGTGGCGAGAGATAGGGGTTCAGTTTCATTCTTCTGAATGTGGATATCCAGTTTTCCCAGCACCATTTATTGAAGACAATGTCTTTTCTCCAGTGAATATTTTTGGCATCTTTGTCAAAAATGAGTTAGCTGTAAGTGTGCAGATATGTTTCTGGATTCTCTATTCTATTCCATTCATCTATGTGCCTGTTTTTCTGCCAGTACCATGCTATTTTGGTTACTACAGCTCTATACTATAATTTGAAGCCGGGTAATATGATTCCTCCACTTTTGTACTTTTTGCTTAGGATAGCTTTGGCTATTCTGAGTCTTTTGTGATTTTATATAATTTTTAGGATTGTTTGTTTCTATTTCTGTGAAGAACGTCATTAGTATTTTGATAGGAATTGCAATGAATCTGTAGATTGCTTTGGGTAATATGGACATTTCAACAATATTTATTCTTCTGATCCATGAACATGGAATATTTTTACATTTTTTGTGTCTTCTTCAATTCTTTCATTAGTCTTTTATTGTTTTCATTATAGAGATCTTTCACTTTCCTGGTTATTTTCTATGTATTTTATTTTATGTGTGGCTATTATAAATATAATTTTTTAAATTCTTCTTCACATTTTTCACTGTCAGCATATAGAAATGCTACTAACTTTTGTATGTTGATTTTGTATTCTATAACTTGACTAAATTTATCAGTTCTAATATTTTTCTTGTGGAGTCTTTAAGTTTTTCCAAATATAAGATCATATTTTCAGCAAACAAGGATAATTTCAATTCTTCCTTTACAATTTAGATGCCGTTTATTTTTTTTTCCCCCTTCTCTGATTAGTTTAGTTAGGAATTCCAGTACTATGTTAAACAAAAGTGGTGAAAGTGGACATCCTTGTCATGTTCCAGATCTTGCAGGAAAGGTTTCCGTTTTTCCAAGTTCAGTATGATACTAGCTGTAGGTCTGTCATTGTGGCTTATATTACATTGAGGTATGTTTCTAATATACCCAGTATTTTGAGGGTATTTATTATTAAGGGATGTTGAATTTTATCAGATGCTTTTTCAGCAATTTAAATAATTATAAGGTTTTTATCCTTCATTCTGTTGATATAATGGATTATGTTGATTGATTTGCATATATCAAACCATCTTTGCTTATCAGGGATAAAACCCACTTGGTCATGATGCGTGATCTTTCTAATGTATTGTTGAATTTGGTTTTCTTGTATTTTATTGGGGATATGTGTATCAATATTTATCAGAGATATTGGTCAGTAGTTTTTTTTTTAAGTGTTTTTGGTTTTGGTATCAGGTTCATAGAAATCTCATAGAATAAGTTTGAAAATAATCCCTCCTTTTTTTGCAGAATAGTTTGAGTAAGGTTGACATTAGTTCTTCTTTAAATGTTTGGTATAATTCAGAAGTAAAGCCATGGGTCCCGGGCTTTCCTTTACTAGGAAGCTTTTTATTATGGCTTTGATCTTATAACTTGTTATTGGTCTTTCCAGGTTTTGAATTTCTTCCTAATTCAATTTTGATAGGTTGCATGTATCTAGAAATTTGTTCATTTTTTCTGGATTTACCAGTATATTGGCATGTATTTGCTCATAGTAGCCATTAATTATCCTTGGAATTTCTGTGGTATCAGTTGTAATAGATCTTTTTTTATTTCTGATTTTATTTATTTGGATTTTCTTAATTATTTTCACAGACTGGTTAAAGGTTCATCAATTTTGTTTAAGTATTCAAGAAACCAACTTTTTGTTTTATTAATTTTTTTATGATTCATCATCTCAATTTTACTTATTTTTGCTCTCATCTTTATTATTTCTTTTTTTCTACTAATTTTGGTTTGCTCTTGTTTTTCTAGTTCTATGTAAGATGCATCATTAGACTGTTTATTTACAAAATTTTTCTCTTTTTTCATGTAGGCACTTATAGCTATCGCCTTCCCTCTGTTTACTGCTTTCACTGTATCCCTTAGGTGTAGTTATGATTTGTTTCTATTATCACTTGTTTAAAATTTTTTAAAAAATTTTCTTCTTAATTTTTTCATGAACCCAGTGGTCATTCAGGAACATATTGTTTAATTTACATGTATTTGTATAGTTTCCAAAACTCCTCTTGTTATTAATTTCCAGTTTTACTCCATTGTGGTAACAGAAGATGCTTGATATTATTTTAGTTTTTTAAATTGTTTTAAGACTTGGTTTATGTCTTAACATATTGTCTATTCTAGAGAATATCCATGTGCTGAGGAAAAGAATGTGTAATCTGCAGCTCTTGGATGAAATGTTCTGTAAATATCTGTTAGATCAATTTGGTCTATGGTGCAGACATTAAATGTAAATGGGCTAAATGCCCCAATTAAAAGACACAGACTGGCAAATTGGATAAAGAGTCAAGACCCATTGGTGTGCTGTATTCAAGAGACTCATCACATGTGCAAAGACACATATAGGTTCAAAATAAAGGGATGGAGGAAGTTTTACAAAACAAATGGAAAGCAAAAAAAAAAAAAAGAAAGCAGGGGTTGCAATCCTAGTCTCTAATAAAATAGACTTTAAACCAACAAAGATCAAAATAACAAAGAAGAGCATTACATAATGGTAAAAGGATCAATGCAACAAGAAGAGCTAACTATCCAAAATGTATATGCACCCAATACAGGAGCACCCAGATTCAGTTCTGAGAGACCTACAAAGAGACTTAGACTCCCACACAATAATAGTGGGAGAATTTAACACTTCACTGTCAGTATTTGACAGATCAATGAGACAAAAAATTAACAAGGATATTCAGGACTTGAACTCAGCTCTGGACCAAGCAGACCCAAGACATCTACAGAACTCTCCACCCCAAGTCAACAGAATATACATTTTTCTCAGCCCCAAATCACCAAATTAAACACATAGTTGGAAGTAAACCAATCCTCAGCAAATGCAAAAGAATGGAAATTATAACAGTCTCTCAGACCACAGTGCAATAAAATTAGAACTCAGGATTAAGAAACTCACTCAGAACTACACAACTACATGAAAACTGAATAACCTGCTCTTGGATGACTACAGGGTAAATAACGAAATTAAGGCAGAAATAAATAAGTTATTTGAAACCAATGAGAACAAAGATACAACATACCAGAATCTCTGGGACAAAGCTAAAGCAGAGTTTAGAGATAAATTTATAGCACTAAGTGTCCACAGGAGAAAGTGGGAAAGATGTAAAATTGACACCCTAACATCACAATTAAAAGAACTAGAGAAGCAAGAGTAAACAAATTAAAAAGCTAGCAGAAGACAAGAAATAACTAAGATCAGAGCAGAACTAAAGGAGATAGGAAAACAAAAAAACACTTCAAAAAATTCATGAATCCAGGAGCTGGTTTTTTGAAAAGATTAACAAAATAGGTACACTGCTAGCCAGACTAATAAAAAAGAAAAGAGAGAAGAATCAAATAGATAAAAAATGATAAAGGGGATATCACCACAGATCCCACAGAAATACAAATTACCATCAGAGAATACTATAAATACCTCTATGCAAATAAACTAGATAATCTAGAAAAAATGGATAAGTTCCTGGACACATACACACTCCCAAGACTAAACCAGAAGGAAGCCAAATCCCTGAATGGGCCAATAACAAGTTCTGAAATTGATGCAGTAATTAATAGCCTACTAATTAATACAAAGCCCAGGACCAGACGGATTCACAGTGGAATTCTGCTAGAAGTACAAAAAGGAACTGGTGTCATTCTTTCTGAAACTATTCCAAACAATATAAATGTTTACTCATTTTATGATGCCAGCATCATCCTTATAACAAAACCTGGCAGGCACAACAACAACAAAAAAGAGTTTCAAGCCAATATCCATGATGAACATCAATGAGAAAATTCTCAATAAAATACTTACAAACCAAATTCAGCAGCACATCAAAAAGCTTATCCACCATGATCAAGTCAGCTTCAACCCTAGGATGGAAGTCTGGTTCAACATATGCAAATCAATAAACATAATCCATCACATAAACAGAACCAATGGCAAAAACCACAAGATTATCTCAATAGATGCAGAAAAGGCCTTCAATAAAAATCAACACCCCTTCAAGCTAAAAACTCTCAATAAACTTGGTATTCACAGAATGCATCTCAAAATAATAAGAGTTAGTTATGACAAACTCACAGCCAATATCACACTGAATGGGAAAACGCTGGTAGTATTCCCTTTAAAAACCAGCACAAGACAAGGATGACCTCTCTCACCACTCCTATTCAACATAGTATTGGAAGTTCTGGCCAGAGCAATCAGGCAAGAGAAAGAAATAAAGGGTATTCAAATAGGAAGAGAGGAAGTCAAATTGTCCCTGTCTGCCGATGACGTGATTGTATATTTAGAAAACCCCATCATCTCAGCCCAAAATCTCCTTAGCTGATAAGCAATTTCAGTAAAGTCTCAGGATACAAAATCAATGTGCAAAAATCAGAAGCATTCATATACGCCAATAATAGGCAAACAGAGGATCAAATCATGAGTGAACTCCCATTCACAATTGCTACAAAGAGAATAAAATACCTAGAAATAAAACTTACAAGGGATGTGAAGGACCTGTTCAAGCAGAACTACAAACCACTGCTCAAGGAATTAAGAGAGGACACAAACAAATGGAAAAATATTCCATGCTCATGGATAGGAAGACTCAATATCGTGAAAATGGCCATACTGCCCAAAGTAATTTATAGATTCAATGCTATCCACATCAAGCTACCATTGACCTTCTTCACAGAAGTAGAAAGAACTACTTTAAATTTCATATGAAACCAAAAAAGAGCTCGTATAGCCAAGAAAATCCTAAGCAAAAAAGAACAAAGCTGGAGGTATCATGCTACCTGACTTCAAACTATAATCCAAGCTACAGTAGCCAAAACAGCATGGTACTGTTACCAAAACAGATATATAGACCAATGGAACAGAACAGAGGCCTCAGAAATAATGCCACACATCTACACCCATCTGATCTTTGACAAACCTGATAAAAACTAGTAATAAGGAAAGGATTCCAAATTTAGCAAATGGTGTTGGGAAAACTGGCTAGCCATATGCTGAAACCGAAACTGGACCCCTTCCTTACACTTCATACAAAAATTAACTCAAGATGAATTAAAGACTTAAATGTAAGACTTAAACCATAAATATCCTAGAAGAAAACCTAGGCAATACCATTCAGGACACAGGCATGGGCAAAGGCCTCCTGACTAAAACACCAAAAGCAATGACAACCAAAGCCAAAATTGATGAATGGGATATAATTGAACCAAAGAGCTTCTGCACAGCAAAAGAAACTAACTTCAGAATGAACAGGCTACCTACAGTATGGGAGAAAATGTTTTCAATCTATCCATCTGACAAAGGGCTAATATCCAGAATCTACAAGGAACTTAAGCAAATTTGCAAGAAAAAAACAAACAACCCCATCAAAAAGTTGGAGAAGGATATGTACAGATACTTCCCAAAAGAAGTCATTTATGCGACCAACAAACATATGAAAAAACACTCATCATCAGTGGTCATTAGAAAAATGCAAATCAAAACCACAATGAGATACCATCTCACGCCGGTTAGAATGGTGATCATTAAAAAGTTAGGAAACAACAGATGCTGGAGAGGATGTGGAGAAATATGAATGCTTTTACATGGTTGGAGGGAGTGTAAATTAGTTCAACCATTGTGGAAGACACTGTGGCAATTCCTCAAGGATCTAGAACCAGAAATAACATTTGACCCAGCAATCTCATTACTGGATATATATCCAAAGGATTTTAAATCATTCTACTATTAAGACATATGTACATGTATGTTTATTGCAGCACTGTTCACAATACCAAAGACTTGGAACCAACCCAAACACCCATCAATGATAGGCTGGATAAAAATAGCGTGGCACATATACATGATGGAATACTATGCAGCCATTAAAAAAGGATGGGTTCGTGTCCTTTGCAGAGACATGGATGAAGCTGGCAACCATCATTCTCAGCCAACTAACACAGGAACAGGCAATCAAACACCACATGTTCTCACTCATAAGTGGGAATTGAACAATGAGAAGACATGGACACTGGGAGGGGAACATCATACACTGGAGCCTGCCCAGGGGAGGGGAGATAGGGGAGGCACAGCATTAGGAGAAATATCTAATGTAGATGATGGGTTGATGGGTGCAGCAAACTACCATGTCACGTGTATACATATGTAACAAACCTGCATTTTCTGCACATGTATTCCCAAACTTAAAGTATAATAAAAAAAGGAAGCATACATTTTAAGTTGTTATATACGCTTGCTGACTTGACCCCTTTATCATTATATAGTTACCTTTTTTTGTCTCATCTTATAGTTTTGTCTTGAAATCTATTTGGTCTGACATAAGGATAGCATCTCCTGACTTTTTTGGCTCCATTGGCATGGAATATCATTTTTTATCTCTTTATTTTCAGTCTGTGTGTGTCTTTACAGGTGAAGTGTGTTTCCTGTAGGCATGAGATCAATATGTCTTATTTATTCACCTATTCTGTCAATGTATCTCTTTTGATTGGAGATTTTTGTCCATTTACATTCAATGCTATTACTGATAAGTAAGAACTTACTCTTGTCATTTTGTTATCTGTTTTCTGTTTGCTTTGTGGTGTTATCTGCCTTCTTTTTTTTCTGTCTTCTTCTAGTGAACCTGATTGTCTTTGGTGAAATTATTTTTCTTCCTATCTTTAATTTTTTTGCATATGACATTGCGTGGTTAATAGTGTGAGGTTACCATGAGGCTTTCAAATACTATCATAACCCATTATCTTAACCTGATAACAACATTATTTTCACAAATAAATAAGCAAAAAGAAAACTGTTAAAAACTCTACACCTGAACTTCGTCCCCCTGCTTTTTAACTTTTTATTGTTTCTATTTATATCTTATTGTATGAGTTGTGTCTTGAAAAGTTGTCATGCTTATTTTTTGATTGGTTCATTGTTAATTCTTTCCACTTAGGATAAGAGTAGTTTATACACCACACTTACAGTGTTATAGTATTCTGTGTTTTTCTGTGTACTTCCTATTACCACTGAGCTTTATAACTTCAGGTGATTGCTTATTGCTCATTAACGTCCTTTTCTTTCTGATTAAAGTGCTCCTTTTAGCATTTCCTGTAGGGCAGGTGTGGTATTAATAAAATGCTTCAGCTTTTTGTTTGTCTGGGAAAGTCTTTATACCTCCTTCATGTTTGAAGGATATTTTCACCAGATATTCTATTCCAGGGTAAAATATTTTTTCCTTCAAGCATGACTTGAAATATGTCATGCTAGTCTCTCCTGGCCTGTAAAGTTTCCACTGAAAAGCCTGCTGTCAGACATATTGATGCTCCATTGTATGTTACTTGCTTCTCTTCTCCTGCTGCATTTAGAATCTTTTCTTCATCCTTGACCTTGGGGAGTCTGATTATTAAATGCCTTGAGGTAGTTTTTTTGGGTTAAACCTACTTGGTATTCTGTAACTTTTTTGTACTTGGATATTGATATTTTTCTTTAGGTTTGGGAAGTTCTCTATTATTACCCCTTTGAATAAACCATCTACTCCTATCTCTTTCTCTACCTCCTATTTAAGGACAATAACTCTTAGATTTGGCTTCTTGAGGCTATTTTCTAGATCCTACATGTATGCTTCATTGTTTTTATTCTTTTTTCTTTTGTCTCCTCTGGCTGTGTATTTTCAAATCACCTGTTTTTAAGCTCACAATTCTTTCTTCTGCTTGATCAATTCCGCTTTTGAGAGACTCTGATGCATTCTTTTGTTTGCCAACTGTATTTTCTAGCTCCAAAATTTTTGCTCCATTCTTTTGAATTATTTCAATTTCATTGTTAAATTTATCTGGTAACATTCTGATTTCCTTCTCTGTGTTATCCTGAATTTCTCTGAGTTTTCTCAACATGGCTATTTTTAATTCTCTGTCTGAAAGGTCACATATCTGTTTCTCCAGTATTGGTACCTGGTGCCTTATTTCATTTGCTGAGGTAATGTTTTCGGGGATGGTGTTGATGCTAGGAGAGATGTTCTTCAGAGTCTGAGCATTGAAGAGTTAGGTATTTATTGTAGTCTTCATTGTCTGGATTTACTTGTAGCCATCCTTCTTGGAAACACTTTTCAGATATTTGAAAGATCTAAGCTCTATCTGCTTTATGGGGCATACCAAGCCCAGTAATTCTGTGGTACTGCAGACTTGTAGAGGTACATCCTTGGTGGTCTTGGACAAAATCTAGGAGAGTTTTCTGGTTTACCAGGCAGACACTCGTGTTCCCTTCCTTTGTCCCAAACATGCAGAATCTTTCTCTCTCTCTGTTCTGAGCCACCTAAAGCTGGAGCTGGAGTGACACAAGCACTCCTGTGGCCCCCACCACTATGACGGCTCTGAGTCAGACCTGAAGCCAGAGCAGTGCTAGGTCTTTTCCAAGGCCTGCTGTAACCACTCTCTGGCTACTGTCTATGTTTGCTTAAAGCCCTGGATCTCCACAATCAGCAGGTGGCAAACAAGGCCTCTGTCTTGCCCTTCACAGCAGTGAGGTTCCCTATGCTCTGGGTGGGTACAGAAGTTTCATCCAGGAGTTAGGGACTAAAGTAAAAAACCTTAGAACTCCACCTGTTATATAATATTGTGTTATGTCATATTGTGGTTGAGCTGACACTCAGACAGCAAGATGCAGCCCTTCCCACTCTTCTCTCCTTTTACTAAAGGGAGAGGAGCCTCACACCATAGCCACTGCCATCTCAGGCCACAAGGAGCACTGACAGATTATCACCAATGTTCCATTAAGCCCCAAGGTCTCTTCTTTTATTATTATTTTTAAATTTTTGACTTTTATTTTATGTTCAGGGGGACATGTACAAGATATGCAAGTTTGTTTCCCAGGTAAAAGTGTGCCATGCTCGTTTGCTCTAAAGATAATCCCATCACTCAGGTATTAAGCCCAGCATCCATTAGCTATTCTTCCTTATGCCCTCACTCCTCCCCACAAGCCCCCATTCTCTGACAAGACACAGTGTGTGATGTTTCCCACCTCCTTGTGTCCATGTGTTCTCATGATTTAGCTCCTACTTATAAGAGAGAACATGTGATATTTGATTTTCTGTTCCTGCATTAGTTTGCTAAGGATAATGGCCTTCAGCTCCATCCATGTCCCTGCAAAGGACATGACCTCATTCCTCTCTATGGCTGCATAGTATTCCATGGTGTATATGTACACATATTCTTTATCCAGAGTATTATTGATGAGCATTTAGGTTGAGTCCATGTTTTTGTTACTGTGAATAGTGCTGCAATGAACATATGCATGCATGTGTCTTTATAATAGAATGATTTATATTCCTTTTGGTATATACTCAGTAATGGGATTGCTGGGTTGAATGGTATTTCTGCCTCTAGGTCTTTGAGGAATTACCACAGTTTTCCACAATGGTTAAACTAATTCACACTCTAACCAACAGTAAAAAAGTGTTCCTTTTTCTCCAAAACCTTGCCAGCATCTGCTGTTTTTTGGCTTTTTAGTAATAGCAATTCTGACTGGTATGACATGGTATCTCATTGTGGTTTTGACTTGCATTTCTCTAATGGTCAGTGATGTTGAGTTTCTTTTCATGTTTTTTTGGCTGCATGTATGTTTTCTTTGGAGGAGTGTCTGTTCATATCCTTTGCATACTTTTTAATGGGGTTGTTTGTTTTTCCTGTAAATGTATTTAAGTTCCTTATAGATGCTGAATATTAGACCATTGTCAGATGGATAGATTGCAAAATTTGTTTCCATTCTGTAACTTGTTTGTTTACTCTGCTAATAAATTCTTTTGCTGTGCAGAAGCCCTTTAGTTTAATTAGATACTATTTGACAATTTTTGCTTTTGCTGCAATTGATTTTGGCATCTTCCTCATGATACTTTTGCCTGTACCTATGTCCTGAATGGCATTGCCTAGGTTTTCTTCGAAGGATTTTATAGTTTTGGGTTTTACATTTAGGTTTTTAATTTGTCTTGAGTTGATTTTCGTATATGGTGTAAGGAAGGGGTCCAGTTTCAGTTTTCTGCATATGGTTAGCCAGTTCTCCCAGCACCATTTATTAAATAGGGAATTCTTTCCCCATTGCCTGTTTTCGTCAGGTTTGTTGAAGATCAATGGTTGTAGGTGTGCAGTCTTATTTCTGGGTTCTATATTTTGTTCCATTGGTATATGTGTCTGTTATCATACAAGTACCATGCTGTTTTTGTTTCTGTAGCCCTGTAGTGTAGTTTGAAGTCAAGTAGCATGATGCCTGCAGCTTTGTTCTTTTTGCTTAGAGTTACTTTAGCTATTCAGAGTTTGTTTTTGTTCCATATGAATTGTAAAATAGTTTTTTTCTGGTTCTGTGAAAAAATGTCAATTGTAGTTTAATGGGAATAGCACTGAATCTATAAATTGTTTTGACAGGATAATTATTCCTCTCCATGAGCATGGACTGTTTTCCAATTTGTTTTGTGTCTCCTATAATTTCTGTGAACAGTGGTTTGTAGTTATCCTTGAGGAAGTCCTTCACTTCTCTTGTTAGCTGTATTCCTAGGTATTTTCTCCTTTTTGTCAGTATTGTGAATGGAAGTTCATTTTTGATTTGACTTTTGGCTTGTCTGTTGTTGCAGTACAGAAATGCTAGTGATTTTTGCATATTGACTTTGTATCCTGAGACTTTGCTAAAATTGCTTATCAGCTTAAGAAAATTTTGGGCTGTGATGATGGGGTTTTTTAGGTATAGGATCATGTCATCTGCAAACAAAGTTTTACTTCCAGTCTTCCGATTTAAATACCCTTTATTTCTTTCTCTTACCTGATTGCCCTGGCCATAACTTCCAATACTACATTGAATAGGAGTGGTGAGAGAGGGTAACCTTGTCTTGTGCTGGTTTTCAAGTGGAATGATTCCAGCTTTTGCCCATTCAGTATGATATTTCCTGTGGGTTTGTCATATATGGTGCTTATTATTTTGAGGTATGTTCCTTCGATATCTGTAGTCTCTCAGACAAAAACACAATCAATTTAGAACTCAAGATTAAGAATTTCAGTCAAAACCATGTAACTACATGGAAACTGAACAACCTGCTCCTGAATGACTTTTTGGGTAAATAATGAAATTAAGGTAGAAATCAAGAAGTTATTTGAAAGAATGAGAACAAAGACACAATGTACGAGAATCCCTGGGACACAGCTAAAGCAGGATTAAAAGGAAAATTTATAGCACAAAATGGCCACGTACAAAAGCTAGAAAGATCTTATGTTAACAACCCAACATCACAACTAAAAGAACTGAAGAACCAATAGGAAACAAACTCCAAAAGTAGCAGAAGACTAGAAATAACCAAGATCAGAGCTAAACTGAAGGAGCTGGAGACACACACACACACACACACACACACACAAAACCTTCAAAAATTAGTAAATCCAGAAGCTGGTTTTTTGAAAAAATTAATAAAATAGATAGATTACTAGCTAGACTAATAAAAAATAAAAGAGAGAAGAGTCAAATAAACACAATCAGAAGTGTTAAGGAAGATAACACTACTGACCCCACAGAAATACAACCATCAGAGAATATTATAAACAACCTCTCTGTACATATACTAGAAAATCTGGAAGAAATGGATACATTCCTGGACACAAACACCTTCCCAAGACTGAACTAGGAAGAAATTAAATCGCTGAATAGATCAGTAATTAGTTCTGAATTTGAGGCAGTAATAAATAACCTACCAATTAAAAAGAGCCCAGGACCAGAAAGAGTCACAACTGAATTCTATCACAGGTACAAAGAAGAGCTAGTACCATTCCTACTGAAACTATTCCAAAAAACTGAAAAGGAAGGACCCCTCCATAACTCATTCTATGATGCCAACATCAACATCATCCTGTTACCAAAACCTGGCAGAAATACCAAAAAAAAAAAAAAAAAAAAAAAAAAAAGAGAGAGAGAGAAAGAAAAGAAAACTTCAGGCCAATATCCTTGGTGAATATTGATGCAAAAATCCTCAACAAAATACTGGCAAACTGAATCCAGCAGCACATCAAAAAGCGTATCCATCACGGTCAAGTAGGCGTCATCCTCAGGATGTAAGGCTGGTTCAGCGTATGCAAATCAGTAAGTGTGATTCATCACATAAACAGAACTAAAGACAAAAAGCACATAATTATCTCAATAGAGGCAGAAAAGCCTTTTGATAAAATTCAACATCCCTTCATGTTAAAAACTCCCAAGGTCTCTTAAGTCAGCTTGTGGTGAATGCTGCCTGTTCTGCAACTCATCTTTCAGGGCAACTCTGGCCCAGGACAGGTCCAGAAATGCAGTCCAAGAGTCAAGCCCTGGAACTGGAGACCCCCAAGAGCTGGCTTAGTGCTCTATGCCCCTATGGCCTCGCTGGTACCTGAGGTGCGAGACAAAGTCTCCTTTACTTTTCTCTTTGCTTTTCTCAAGCAGGAGTTTTGCTCAGTGCTCACTGTGGCTGGTTATGTGCTGAGTCCCACCTGAAGTCCACAAGTCTGAGGTTCAGTCAAGGCCCTCAATGTAGTACCTGGGTATGGCTCCTATTCATTCAGGGCCCAAGGGCTCTTCAGTTAGCAAGTGATGAATACTGGCAAGTCTGGTTCCTTTCCTTCAAGTCAGTGGGTTCCATTCTGGCCCAGGGTGTGTCTAGAAATGTTGTCCAGGAGCTAGGGCCTGGAACAGGGGTCTCACATCTCTGATTGGTGCCCTAGCCTACTGTGGCTGGGCTGATATTCTAGATGCAAGACAAAGCCCTCCCCATTCTTCCTCTTCCTCTCCTCAAGTAGAAGGAAGGGTTCTCTTTTGGAGCTGTGACCTGTGCAGCTGGGTTAGGGGAGGCACAGTGCAGAACTCCCTTGGCTGCCCCAGCTGACTTCTCAGTATGTTGTGTCTCCTCCCCACCCACAGTCTACTGTCTCTGGGCCTAATTCAACACTGGGACTCAACTGACAAATCTCTGTCCTTATGGCCTAGACTGCCTTTCAAGTTTACTTGGAGACACAGAGTGCTGTAGCCTGCAGTGATGAGGATTGTGGGAACTCAAGTTCCCAGGTGATCCCGCTGGTTAAAATGTTCCCTCCGTGGGCAGGCATCAGCTGAGTTTGGTCTGGTTTTCCTTTCCGCTCTAACAGGACAGGATGGAGTTTAATGCCTCACAATTGCTGTATTCTTTCCCGCCCCCCAGTGCCCAGAGATGTTCTCCATACCATGCCACACTGCCAGGGATGGGGAAAGGGCAGCATCGATGATTCAAGACTATATTTTCTGCTTCTTCAGTGCCTCTTTTATGAAGTTAAAACCAGGTACCATGAATACTCACCTGATTTTTGGTTCCTATGAAGGTGTTTTTTCTGTGTAGGTAGTTGTTAACTTGGTGTCCTTGTGGATGAATGATGGAGTTTTCTGTTTCACCATCTTGCTATTCCCTGTATTATATCTAATTCTAATAACAATCCTGTAGATTAAACTTATTCACTATTCCAAATTGAGAAAATGAGTCTCAGAGAGCATAGTAGGTTTCCCAAGATAACACAGTAATTGAAAACATCTGAATGTAATCCTATCGCCGCTTTGCTCTAAAGTGTCTTCTTTACTGTCTTATTTTTTATATTCCCTGTATTATGACATATTGTGTTTTCCCATGGCAGTTTCTTCTCTCTCTTCACTAGGTTCTATTTCTTGAAAATATCATCTTCTATTACATCAGCTACCTTCACTGGACAGACTGACTTAAATCTGAACTCCATTGCCTTATCTCCCCTATACCCTTCCTACCTTATGTTCACATATCCCACCCTGTAAGCTTCACTTTCTTACTGCTGCCAGTTGTGCCCAATACTATTAGTTAATTAGTCTTGAATAACACATTCTGATTTCCCCACACTTCAGCTTTCTATTGTTGTTTCTACTTTATGACGATTTCTCCTAAATGATGTCCCTTTTACACTGGCAATGGTATAAAGTGAATCAGGGCCTCATTGTTTTTGCCCAGGCCATATCAAGGGTCCATTTCAAGATCATTTTGAATCTTAAACAGAGTTGTAAACGAATATTCCTAACACAGTAGCTTCCTTCACAATATTTATTTTTGCTCATGAATCTTCATGAAATTTATGCTTAAATACTGAATCTGGTAAATAATTCCTCCCAAGATGAAACCCAGACTTCTCTAATGCAAGCTGTACTGCCTTCCTGCCACCATTAAGGAATCTGGTTCTTCAAGTCAAAGGGAATTTTAAAAACTAGACTTATTCACTTATCTATTTTGTTTGTGCTTTTAGGAGCGCAGACAAATAATACAGCTTTTAGGAGCCAAACTCAATTTCCTTTCACATATCTTATTATAAATCTTGCTTACTGATTATTTAGAATATAGGTAATTTGAAATAAAGCACTATATTGTATATGTGTGTATGTGTATTTTATCATGATGCATCATATTTGTTTTGAAAACTTTAGCAATGTTATATTTTTCAAATTTATTACTTTCTGAGATTACATATTTTCAAAAAAATTTGGAAAATTGGGAGTAGGCCAACTCTTTCTCTCTATATATATAATATACACATACACACATATGCTCGTATAGATACGCACCAAATATGTAGTACATATATGTATACATGTGTATATATGCAAATATATTTTATACATAATGTGTATGCATATTTTTATAATATAATAAGCAAATCATGTGTTTATATTTGAGAGTATTTTTAAAACTAATGTTAATTTTTTTTACCTCTACTTGATTTATTCATTTGGTGTGTTTCCTCTCTGTTTTATGAATCTTGATCATTTTTCAACAGGCATTTATGTTCTCCATTTAAAAAAATCATGCCTTTTCCATGTATCTAAGTTTTGATATGTACTACATAGAATAGAACAGTGTGAAAATAAGGTGGTGGGAAGAACCATCAAGAAAAAGTTTTCTGTTTTAAATGTTTTTTGATATTTTCTGTTTGCATTCTGAATTTATCATGTGTCTTTTCTCATTGTTTTTTTCTATATGACTCTATATATAGTTATATACAATTATATACATTAAGATTAAAAGAAATTATTATGAGAATACTGTATTTAGTGCCACTTTAAAAGTAAAACTTTTAATTTGTATAGCTGTTATTATCTGAAAACAATAATATTTCTTCTTTTGTGTGGATTTTTTTATCTTGTACATGATTCTTCAAATTATACTAGAAGTTTGTAAAGAACACTTATCCAGCTATAGGACAATATAATAATTGGAGAGCTAAAATCCTTGCTGCTAAATGCTTCCTTCTAATGGCATTAAACATATGCTTTAAATGTAGTTATTTAAGGAAAAATCAAATTTAGAAGTCTTTAAAAGTCAAGACGGTAACTTGACATGATAAAGAAAATATAAAATTGTCTGTAGTGGAGACAATAATACTCACCAAATAGTCTATTTACACCCCTGCATTTCCCATCCTTCCTTGCAAAGTCATGTGATTGTGTTTACCAATGAAATTGAAGAATAAGCATATAATTTCCAGGCTGACGCAGTCAAAAGCCCATAAAGAATGCTTCAGTCTTAATTCCCTCTTTTGTGGCAAGCAAAACGGTTGCATATTCCAGAAAATGCGTATGGTGGTATTTCTGTCAATCTAAGCCCTTGAGAAACTATAGGAAGCACAGATGTACGACTCCACTTGATCGCCACATTAGCATGTGTTATGTGCCTAAACAAATGTTTGTTTTGGTAAGTCACTGGAATTCTAAGGGTTAATTTCTTTTTTATTTATTTATTTATTAGTATTATACTTTAACTTTTAGGGTACATGTGCACATTGTGCAGGTTAGTTACATACGTATACATGTGCCATGCTGGTGTGCTGCCCCCACTAACTCGTCATCTAGCATTAGGTATATCTCCCACTGCAATCCCTCCCTCCTCCCCCCTGCCACAACAGTCCCCAGAGTGTGATGTTCCCCTTCCTTTGTCTATGTGATCTCATTGTTCCATTCCCACCTATGAGTGAGAATATGCGGTGTTTGGTTTTTTGTTCTTGCGATAGTTTACTGAGAATGATGATTTCCAATTTCATCCATGTCCCTACAAAGGACATGAACTCATCCTTTTTTATGGCGCATAGTATTCCATGGTGTATATGTGCCACATTTTCTTAATTCAGTCTATCATTGTTGGACATTTGGGTTGGTTCCAAGTCTTTGCTATTGTGAATAATGCCGCAATAAACATAAGTGTGCATGTGTCTTTATAGAAGCATGATTTATAGTCCTTTGGGTATATACCCAGTAATGGGATGGCTGGGTCAAATGGTATTTCTAGCTCTAGATCCCTGAGGAATCGCCACACTGACTTCCACAAGGGTTGAACTAGTTTACAGTACCCTCAACAGTGTAAAAGTTCCTATTTCTCCACATCCTCTCCAGCACCTATTGTTTCCTGACTTTTTAATGATTGCCATTCTAACTGGTGTGAGATGGTATCTCATTGTGGTTTTGATTTGCATTTTTCTGATGGCCAGTGATGGTGAGCATTTTTTCATGTGTTTTTTGGCTACATAAATGTCTTCTTTTGAGAAGTGTCTGTTCATGTCCTTTGCCCACTTTTTGATGGGGTTGTTTGTTTTTTTCTTGTAAATTTCTTTGAGTTCATTGTAGATTCTGGATATTAGCCCTTTGTCAGATGAGTAGGTTGTGAAAATTTTCTCCCATTTTGTAGGTTGCCTGTTCACTCTGATGGTAGTTTCTTTTGCTGTGCAGAAGCTCTTTAGTTTAATTAGATCCCATTTGTCAATTTTGGCTTTTGTTGCCATTGCTTTTGGTGTTTTAGACATGAAGTCCTTGCCCATGCCTATGTCCTGAATGGTAATGCCTAGGTTTTCTTCTAGGGTTTTTATGGTTTTAGGTCTAACGTTTAAGTCTTTAATCCATCTTGAATTAATTTTTGTATAAGGTGTAAGGAAGGGATCCAGTTTCAGCTTTCTACATATGGCTAGCCAGTTTTCCCAGCACCATTTATTAAATAGGGAATCCTTTCCCCATTGCTTGTTTTTCTCAGGTTTGTCAAAGATCAGATAGTTGTAGATATGCGGCGTTATTTCTGAGGGCTCTGTTCTCCTCCATCGATCTATATCTCTGTTTTGGTACCAGTACCATGCTGTTTTGGTTACTGTAGCCCTGTAGTATAGTTTGAAGTCAGGTAGGGTGATGCCTCCAGCTTTGTTCTTTTGGCTTAGGATTGACTTGGTGATGCAGGCTCTTTTTTGGTTCCATATGAACTTTAAATAGTTTTTTCCAATTCTGTGAAGAAAGTCATTGGTAGCTTGATGGGGATGGCATTGAATCTATAAATTACCTTGGGCAGTATGGCCATTTTCACGATATTGATCCTTCCTACCCATGAGCATGGAATGTTCTTCCATTTGTTTGTATCCTCTTTTATTTCCTTGAGCAGCGGTTTGTAGTTCTCCTTGAAGAGGTCCTTCACATCCCTTGTAAGTTGGATTCCTAGGTATTTTATTCTCTTTGAAACAATTGTGAATGGGAGTTCACTCATGATTTGGCTCTCTGTTTGTCTGTTGTTGGTGTATAGGAATACTTGTGATTTTTGCACATTGATTTTGTATCCTGAGACTTTGCTGAAGTTGCTTATCAGCTTAAGGAGATTTTTGGCTGAGACAATGGGGTTTTGTAGATATACAATCATGTCATCTGCAAACAGGGACAATTTGACTTCCTCTTTTCCTAATTGAATACTCTTTATTTCCTTCTCCTGCCTAATTGCCCTGGCCAGAACTTCCAACACTATGTTGAATAGGAGTGGTGAGAGAGGGCATCCCTGTCTTATGCCAGTTTTCAAAGGGAATGCTTCCAGTTTTTGCCCATTCAGTATGATATTGGCTGTGGGTTTGTCATAGATAGCTCTTATTATTTTGAAATATGTCCCATCAATACCTAATTTATTGAGAGTTTTTAGCATGAAGCGTTGTTGAATTTTGTCAAAGGCCTTTTCTGCATCTATTGAGATAATCATGTGATTTTTGTCTTTGGCTCTGTTTATGTGCTGGATTACATTTATTGATTTGCGTATATTGAACCAGCCTTGGATCCCAGGGATGAAGCCCACTTGATCATGGTGGATAAGGTTTTGATGTGCTGCTGGATTCAGTTTGCCAGTATTTTATTGAGGATTTTTGCATCAATGTTCATCAAGGATATTGGTCTAAAATTCTCTTTTTTGGTTGTGTCTCTGCCCGGCTTTGGTATCAGGATGATGCTGGCCTCATAAAATGAGTTAGGGAGGATTCCCTCTTTTTCTGTTGATTGGAATAGTTTCAGAAGGAATGGTACCAGTTCCTCCTTGTATCTCTGGTAGAATTCGGCTGTGAATCCATCTGGTCCTGTACTCTTTTTGTTGGTAAGCTATTGATTATTGCCACAATTTCAGATCCTGTTATTGGTCTATTCAGAGATTCAACTTCTTCCTGGTTTAGTCTTGGGAGAGTGTATGTGTCAAGGAATTTATCCATTTCTTCTAGATTTTCTAGTTTATTTGCGTAGAGGTGTTTGTAGTATTCTCTGATGGTAGTTTGTATTTCTGTGGGATCGGTGGTGATATCCACTTTATCATTTTTTATTGCGTCTATTTGATTCTTCTCTCTTTTTTTCTTTATTAGTCTTGCTAGCAGTCTCTCAATTTTGTCGATCCTTTCAAAAAACCAGCTCCTGGATTCATTAATTTTTTGAAGTGTTTTTTGTGTCTCTATTTCCTTCAGTTCTGCTCTGTTTTTAGTTATTTCCTGCCTTCTGCTAGCTTTTGAATGTGTTTGCTCTTGCTTTTCTAGTTCTTTTTATTGTGATGTTAGGGTGTCAATTTTGGATCTTTCCTGCTTTCTCTTGTGGGCATTTAGTGCTATAAATTTCCCTCTACACACTGCTTTGAATGTGTCCCAGAGATTCTGGTATGTTGTGTCTTTGTTCTCGTTGGTTTCAAAGAACATCTTTATTTCTGCCTTCATTTCGTTATGTACCCAGTAGTCATTCAGGAGCAGGTTGTTCAGTTTCCATGTAGTTGAGCGGTTTTGAGTGAGATTCTTAATCCTGAGTTCTAGTTTGATTGCACTGTGGTCTGAGAGATAATTTGTTATAATTTCTGTTCTTTTACATTTGCTGAGGAGAGCTTTACTTCCAAGTATGTGGTCAATTTTAGAATAGGTGTGGTGTGGTGCTGAAAAAAATGTATATTCTGTTGATTTGGGGTGGAGAGTTCTGTAGATGTCTATTAGGTCCTCTTGGTGCAGAGCTGAGTTCAATTCCTGGGTATCCTTTTTGACTTTCTCTCTCGTTGATCTGTCTAATGTTGACAGTGGGGTCTTAAAGTCTCCCATTATTAATGTGTGGGAGTCTAAGTCTCTTTGTAGGTCACTCAGGACTTGCTTTATGAATCTGGGTGCTCCTGTATTGGGTGCATATATATTTAGGATAGTTAGCTCTTCTTGTTGAATTGATCCCTTTACCATTATGTAATGGCCTTCTTTGTCTCTTTTGATCTTTGTCGGTTTAAAGTCTGTTTTATCAGAGACTAGGATTGCAACCCCTGCTTTTTTTGTTTTCCATTTGCTTGGTAGATCTTCCTCCATCCTTTTATTTTGAACCTATATGTGTCTCTGCACGTGAGATGGGTTTCCTGAATACAGCACACTGATGGGTCTTGACTCTTTATCCAATTTGCCAGTCTGTGTCTTTTAATTGGAGCATTTAGTCCATTTACATTTAAAGTTAATAGTGTTATGTGTGAATTTGATCCTGTCATTATGATGTTAGCTGGTTATTTTGCTCCTTAGTTGATGCAGTTTCTTCCTAGTCTGGATGGTCTTCACATTTTGACATGATTTTGCAGCAGCTGGTTCCGGTTGTTCCTTTCCATGTTTAGCGCTTCCTTCAGGAGCTCTTTTAGGGCAGGCCTGGTGGTGACAAAATCTCTCAGCATTTGCTTGTCTGTAAAGGATTTTATTTCTCCTTCATTTATGAAGCTTAGTTTGGCTGGATATGAAATTCTGGGTTGAAAATTCTTTTCTTTAAGAATGTTGAATATTGGCCCCCACTGTCTTCTGGCTTATAGAGTTTCTGCCGAGAGATCCGCTGTTAGTCTGATGGGCTTCCCTTTGAGGGTAACCCGACCTTTCTCTCTGGCTGCCCTTAACATTTTTTCCTTCATTTCAACTTTGGTGAATCTGACAATTATGTGTCTTGGAGTTGCTCTTCTCGAGGAGTATCTTTGTGGCGTTCTCTGTATTTTCTGAACTTGAATGTTGGCCTGCCTTGCTAGATTGGGGAAGTTCTCCTGGATAATATCCTGCAGCGTGTTTTCCAACTTGGTTCCATTCTCCCCGTCACTTTCAGGTACACCAATCAGACATAGATTTGGTCTTTTCACATAGTCTCATATTTCTTGGAGGCTTTGCTCGTTTCTTTTTATTCTTTTTTCCCTAAACTTTCCTGCTCGCTTCATTTCATTCATTTCATCTTCCATTGCCGATACCCTTTCTTCCAGTTGATCGCATCGGCTCCTGAGGCTTCTGCATTCTTCACGTAGTTCTCGAGCCTTGGTTTTCAGCTCCATCAGCTCCTTTAAGCACTTCTCTGTATGGGTTATTCTAGTTATGTATTCTTCTAAATTTTTTTCAAAGTTTTCAACTTCTTTGCCTTTGGTTTGAATGTCCTCCCATAGCTCAGAGTAATTTGATCATCTGAAGCCTTCTTCCCTCAGCTCGTCAAAGTCATTCTCCATCCAGCTTTATTCCTTTGCTGGTGAGGAGCTGCGTTCCTTTGGAGGAGTAGAGGCGCTCTGCGTTTTAGAGTTTCCAGTTTTTCTGTTCTGTTTTTTCCCCATCTTTGTGGTTTTATCTACTTTTGGTCTTTGATGATGGTGATGTACAGATGGGTTTTTGATGTGGATGTCCTTTCTGTTTGTTAGTTTTCCTTCTAACAGACAGGACCCTCAGCTGCAGGTCTGTTGGAGTACCCTGCAGTGTAAGGTGTCAGTGTGCCTCTGCTGGAGCCTGCCTCCCAGTTAGGCTGCTCAGGGGTCAGGGGTCAGGGACCCACTTGAGGAGGCAGTCTGCCCATTCTCAGATCTCCAGCTGTGTGCTGGGAGAACCACTGCTCTCTTCAAAGCTGTCAGACAGGGACATTTAAGTCTGCAGAGGTTACTGCTGTCTTTTTGTTTGTCTGTGCCCTGCCCCCAGAGGTGGAGCCTACAGAGGCAGGCAGGCCTCCTTGAGCTGTGGTGGGCTCCACCCAGTTCGAACTTCCCGGCTGCTTTGTTTACCTAAGCAAGCCTGGGCAATGGTGGGTGCCCCTCCCCCAGCCTTGCTGCCGCCTTGCAGTTTGATCTCAGACTGCTGTGCTAGCAATCAGCGAGACTCCGTGGGGTAGGACCCTCTGAGCCAGGTGTGGGATATAATCTCGTGGTGCGCCTTTTTTAAGCCCGTCAGAAAAGCCAGTATTCGGATGGGAGTGACCCGATTTTCCAGGTGCCGTCCGTCACCCCTTTCTTTGATTAGGAAAGGGAACTCCCTGACCCCTTGTGCTTCCCGAGTGAGGCAATGCCTCGCCCTGCTTCGGCTCATGTACGGTGCGCACACCCACTGACCTGCACCCACTGTCTGGCACTCCCTAGTGAGATGAACCCGGTACCTCAGATGGAAATGCAGAAATCACCCGTCTTCTGCCTTGCTCAGGCTGGGAGCTGTAGACTGGAGCTGTTCCTATTTGGCCATCTTGGCTCCTCCCCCTCTAAGGGTTAATTTCTAAGTACAACATAACATTGCTATACTGGCAAGTGCTGGCAAATACCATTGCCAGTTTGCAACAATGTCTTTATTATGTAAGATGTTTACAATCTAATATTATCCCTTTATCAAGACACTGTGTATCATTTCTCAGGAACTAGCTCTTAGGTAAAGAACACCATTCACAAAACAATTTGAATAGTAAATCAAGCTCCACACAGAATTTTACTCATTTAAATACTTTATTTTAGATAATGCATAGTAATTTTCAAGGTTTAAATACTTTAATCATTTAATACTGCCAAAACCCCAAATCATGGCACAGAATCTATTTTAAAACAATCTGTTTTATAGTCTTCTAGTTTAGATGTCATAAAACTATTAAAATAAAACACACATATAATAACAGACCCAAAGGGACTGTAATAATTTATCAAATAAATGTCCCAGGAACAAAATAAATCTTGACTTAAGATGAAGTGCAATATAACATACTCAAAGACACAGGCACACATATGTTTTCATATACTTTATTATAAAAGTATGTATATGCTGCAAAATGTCTTTTTAAAAGAAGCCTTATTAGGAAATATTGTTGGAAATTAACATGCATTTTTTAAAATATATGTTCATTGTTCACAATTTTTGTAATTCACATTCCTTAATAGTTTCAACTTAGTTAAATATTTCAGTAGCTTTAATTTTTGGGAGCAGTGTCGCATTTGAGACCCCTTCCTAAATTAGGGCAATAAACCACTCTGTAAGTCTGGTGAAAGGCAGGGTTCTAGATTTCACTATAGACTAAATGAGTTTATACTGGCTGTCTCTAAACTATGGCACCTAGGCTAGTTATCTAAACTCTGCCAATTGGATACTACCACCTGGAATTTTAACTCTGGTGCCAGTTACATAAGAATGGAACACTTTAGAATTAATTACAGTGTTAGAAGGCTGGGGTAGCCACACTCATAATGCTGTGGTTCTGGTGCAAGCAGAGTTCTCCAGTTTTCTGAATTCAAAGTTCCTTCTTATAGCTATACAATCCTTTCCTTTTACCTTCTCAGGAACCTACACCAATTTCTGTTGTATAAAACCAACAACACTGACTAATACCCATACAAATTTATCTTTGCAGAAGTTTTTACTGTACCTCTTACATACTTGGCTATGGATATATACTGCCAAACATGTCCACAAAAAAAAAATATTGCATTTTTCTGCAATAAGTCAGGAAAGATATCAAAAGCCACATAATCATCCAACAGATGCTATTGAAATTTAAAGAAACACTTTGTAAACATTATAACAGAATGAAGTGCAGTCTGTTCTTTGGTTCTTAAATGAAGTTAGCCCATTGAATTTTAATGAATGTTTCATTCCAGATATTTTCCATCTCAGGTATGTACAGTCATTTGAATGAATACACTGTACATATTTAAATTTACATTTGAAAAACATTTAAAAATTAATTTATTCCACAGACAAAAAAATAATGGCCATAGTATCTATCAGCTCGACCCATAAGCAGAATTGCCATAGGGCACATGATAAGGAAATCATTTTTTAAGTTGTGTTCTATATACCATAAGTTACATCATTTAGCCATAATCAATTGTGTTCTATATTTTCACAAAAACAAGGTTGAAAAATTTTGAATAATTAGTTTCCTTTATCACTTTAAATGAAACATTCACTCTAAAGTCTGTCAGAAAGATTCTTCAATTCTCTCTCACATACTTAAGTGACATGATTAGCTTTTACTGTAAACACTCCAACTGAAAAGTAATGTAGTGTTTAATATACTTTCTGGTTAATTATGATTAAATAGGAACTACTTTTGTACGTATCCTTTAAAATTTCCCTATCTTGCCTAACAAAGGTTATATTAAGCAAAAGGAAATTTTAAAAAAGACATGATTGTTTCCTCAGGGAGATGTTTCCTTGATTCTGAGCATTATATCCCATCATATTTTACAGTAGAAAGAGGATATGGGGGATTAGTCTGACCTTTTACAATGTATTGGGACACAGGTATTTAGAGGACTGATGAAGATATTTGAGATTAATTTCCTGATGTGAATCTGTGCCTTCCCTTACTGATGCTAAAGACCAACCATCTTTATGTACAGCCCTGCCATGTCCAGAAATCACTAGAAACCCAGTGTAGATGAACTTAAGAGTACTTTATTGATAAGTAGGACATGTAATATTCTGTTTTCCTAGCCAAGTATGTAATCATGGGCCTTCACTCAACGTGAATAGCAGCCATCTCTCTCATCTTTACCTTAGTTTCCAAATGCAGATGACTGCTCTGAAGATCTTTTTTATCCTTCAACTCCAGTTATCCATTGAGACTCCTAAAAAGCAATTGAAAAACCCTCCCCTCCTTTCCTTTAGTTTCAGTTTGTACCGGTACAGGCTGGCTTCTTGAATCAGTCGGGGCAGAGCTGACACTGAAAGCTTTCTCAGGATTCAAATTCATTAGATGATAGTGTTTCTGTCCTTTCTGTCCTCCGATTCCTTTAAAATCAACAATGCACAGCCTCATTCCTGAGTGTTATATGTCAACTTCTGGAGAAAGCTAGTCTTACTTTGCTGACAAGTCACACTCATCTTTTGTATTAATACCTTCTTCCACACAAAGAATTGATTTTTCTTGTTTGGACAAACTTAAGTCGTTTATAGTATATTGTAAACCCTTTCTTTTGCTCTCCTCTAAGTGTAATTTTTTTCTTCAGTGGATTCTTTAGAAATGGAATTAGTAAAGTTGTCAGAGAAATAAATTGGAGAGGGACATGGTGCTTTCTTTATCTCAGTTTAGCTAAAATTCTCAGTTCTTTAAACTTTTCCCCATTAGCCTTAGTTTCCAACAATTATTCATCTTTGTGGCTCGCTGCTAAACCTTTTCACATTTTTCATATTTTTAATTCTATGTCTGAATTTTCTATTTCTCCTCTACTCTATGAACCTTATTTTTCCTTTTTGTAAGCTCCTTCAAAAAAAAAAGGATATTTGAAAAATAAATAAATAATCTTTCCTCATATATTTTAGAGTTTTTATTTGCCCATAGTTAGCTAGCCAAAATATGACTGAAAAGTAAAATAACCTTAATATGCTAAAGTCATATTTAAGAAACACACCATTTACCACCTGTCATGTGGTCCATGTAATTCTATGGATGATGAGAGGTAAAACAACACAGTACTGCTTACAAGATGTTTCCATGTATTAGATATGTTTAAAAATTTTGTTACAGGAAGAAGACATGATAAATGGAATAATCAAAGCCAGTCTTTCTTGTGCCTTATTGCATTTTATTTAGACTGCTGTATTTTTACCTATACCCTTTTTATTTCTATGTTTTTCAAACTTTACAGATCAATAATTTTATTTGCATCTTTATCACCATTAATAATGAACTTACATTTCAGAATCTATAAAAGCATAGCATTTATAGATTTTAGTCATGGATTTTTATAATTAATCTTTTAAAATCAATGATTATAGCCATAATGGATGAAAAAATATCATGTAAGCATTGTGCACATAGGACAGACTTATGTAGAATATAACAATATTAGTGTCTTATAGATACTAGTTAATTTCTACAGTGAGTAGAATCTTCTATCAGTTTTCTAGTATTTAAGTTGCCTTTGTATTTTGTGCTCTGGATTACTTGATATCATATTAATTTTCTGGATTTTACTGGATTTTAAAAATTTTTTTCTGTCACCAGAGCTACTCTAAGATCAGTAAAGTTGAATGGTTTAAGTGGAACAAAGCAAATACATAAATTTAAGATGATAATAACCACTGGTAAGTACTCTGAAGCTAATCCAGGTGATTTATGTGGTTTATCAACATTTACTGCAATTTGAAGAATGTGTTTCAGAGGGAAATTTGGCTGGCTCCTTAATCGGATCTCCGTGGGATGGCAGTATGTTGGTGTTTTCACTATATAGCATGGTATTCTGTAATGAAAAGCTATTAAGCTTAGAAATTTGATTTCCTTAGTGCAGCCAAAGGCAACTAACTCAATGGTAATTAGAACACATGCATAAAAATCAGAATACTAATTTATTATTTTAACAAATATAACTATTAATTGGATTGATGATTGATTATACTTTGTTTATAGGCAGATCTACTTGCTAATTCAAATTATACTCGTAAGATTTCTTAATATGTGTGGAATTTATCAAAAGAAATTATAAAATAATATTCACACTTATTACATTTTGTCCACAAAAAGTCTGAAATGACCATTTCTACTGACTTGTTTTACCAATCCCATTAACCACAAAATTAATAATATTATTACTACTGCTTCCACTACTATTACTACTATGTTTATGATTATTCACACTACTGTCATTACTTCTACTTTTACTAGCTATTTTTTGGTTTGTGGGTAAGTAGTAGGTACATACATATTTGTAGGATACATGAGATATTGTGTTAAAGACCTATAATACATAATGATCACATCAGGGTAAGTGGAGTATCCATCACCTCAAGCATTTATCGATTTGTTGTGTT
Organism: Homo sapiens; assembly: GCF_000001405.40. Classification (NCBI taxonomy): domain Eukaryota; kingdom Metazoa; phylum Chordata; class Mammalia; order Primates; family Hominidae; genus Homo; species Homo sapiens. The sequence goes on along the minus strand of NT_187554.1, from coordinate 29,473 downwards.
ATGAATAATTCAATTTTACTATTTTAGTTATTTTAACATGTACAATAAATTATTATTGAGTGCAGTCACCCTATTGTGCTATCAAATACTAGATCTTATTCATTTTTATAACTCTATTTTTTATACCCATTAACCATCCCCACTCCCCTGACTCCCACTATCCTTCCCAGCCTCTGATAACCATCATTCCATTCTCTCTCCCCATGAGGTCCTTTGTTTTAATTTTTAGCTCCCACAAGTGAGTGAGAGCATGCAAAATTTCCCTTTCTGTGCCTGGCTTATTTCACTTAATATAATTTCCTCCAGTTCCATCCATGTTGTTGCAAATGACAGGATCTCATTTTATTTTATGGCTGAATAGTACTTAATTACATTTTCTTTATCTCTTCATCTATTGACCAACACTTAGATTACTTTCAAATTTTGGTTATTGTGAACAGTACTACAATAAACATAGGAGTGCAGACATCTCTTCAACATATTGATTTCCTTCTTCTTGGGTATAAACCTAGCAGATGGATTGCTGCATCATATGGAAGTTTTCTGAGGAACTTCCATAGTGTTCTTCACAGTGGTTATACTAACTTACATTCCCTCTAACAGTGTACAAGGATTCTCTTTTGTCCACATACTCACTAGCATATTATAGCCCGTCTTTTGAATAAAAGCCATTTTAACTGAGGCAAGATATTTCATTATAGTTTGGTTTGCATTTATCTGATGGTCAATGATGTTGAGCATCTTTTCATATGTCTGTTGGTTGCTTGTATGTTTTCCTTTGAAAAATGTCTATTCAAATCTTTTGTCCATTTTTAAATTGGGTTATTAGATTTTTGTCTATTGACTTATTTGAGTTCCTTATATATTCCAGTTATTAATTCCTTGTCATATAAATAGTTTGCAAATATTTTCTCTCATTCTATAAGACAAAGGATTGTTTTCTTTTCTGTTCAAAAGCTTTTTTTATTGATGCAATTCTATTTGTCCATTTTTTTATTTGGTTGCCTGTGTTTGTATTTGTATTACTTGGGGTATTACTCAAGAAATCTTTGCCCAGACCAATATCCTGGAAAGTTTCTCCAATGTTTACTTTTTTAGTAGTTTTATTGTTTGAGATCTTAAATTCAACCTTTAATCTATTTTGATTTGATTTTTGTATATGGCAAGAGATACGGGTCTAGTTTCATTCTTCTGCATATGGATATCCAGTTTTCTGAGTACCATTCATAGAAGAGACTGTCCTTTTCCCCAATGTAGATCCTTGGAACTTTTGATAAAAATGACTTCACTGTAGATACAAGGATTTATTTCTGGGTTCTCTATTGTGTTCCATTAGACTGTGTCTTTTTTTTTTTTTTTTTTTTTTTTTGCCAGTACCATACTGTTTTGGTTACTATAGCTCTGTACTATAATTTTAATTCATATAATGTGATTTCTCCAGTTTTGTTCTTTTGCTTAGGGTGGCTTTGATTATTCTGGGTCCATTGTGGTCTCATATAGATTTTAGGATTATATTTCTATTTCTGTGAATAATGTCATTGGTATTTTAATAGGAATTGCATCGAGCCTATAGAATGTTTAGAGTAGTATGAACATTTTGTCAGTGTTGACTCTTATAATCCATGAACATAGAATATACTTTCATTTGTGTGTGTATGTCATCTTGAACTTCTTGCATCAATGTTTTATAGTTTTCTTTTTTTTATTATACTTTAAGTTTTAGGGTACATGTGCACGACGTGCATGTTAGTTACATATGTTTACATGGGCCACATGTGCCATGTTGGTGTTGCACCCATTAACTTGTCATTTAGCATTAGGTATATCTCCTAGTGCTATCCCTCCCCCCTACCACCACCCCACAACAGGCCCCTGTGTGTGATGTTCCTCTTCCTGTGTCCATGTGTTCTCATTGTTCAATTCCTACCTGTGAGTGAGAACATGAGGCATTTGGTTTTTTGTCCTTGCAATAGTTTGCTGAGAATGATGGTTTCCAGCTTCATCCATGTCCCTACAAAGGACATGAACTCATCATTTTTGATGGCTGCATAGTATTCCATGGTGTATATGTGCCACATTTTCTTAATCCAGTCTATCATTGTTGGACATTTGGCTTGGTTCCAAGTCTTTGCTATTGTGAATCGTGCCGCAAAAAACATACATGTGCATGTGTCTTTATAGCAGCATGATTTATAATCCTTTGGGTATATACCCAGTAATGGGATGGCTGGGTCAAATGGTGTTTCTACTTCTAGATCCCTGAGAAATCGTCACACTGATTTCCACAATGGTTGAACTAGTTTACAGTCCCACCAACAGTGTGAAAGTGTTCCTATTTCTCCACATCCTCTCCAGCACCTGTTGTTTCCTGACTTTTTAATGATTGCCATTCTAACTGGTGTGAGATGGTATCTCATTGTGGTTTTGATTTGCATTTCTCTGATGGCCAGTGACGATGAGCATTTTTTCATGTGTTTTTTGGCTGCATAAATGTCTTCTTTTGAGAAGTGTCTGTTCATATCCTTCACCCACTTTTTGATGGGGTTGTTTGTTTTTTTCTTGTAAATTTGTTTGAGTTCATTGTAGATTCTGGATATTAGCTCTTTGTCAGATGAGTAGATTGCAAAAATTTTCTCCCATTCTGGAGGTTGCCTGTTCACTCTGATGGTAGTTTCTTTTGCTGTGCAGAGATTCTTTATTATTATTATTATTATTATTATACTTTAAGTTTTAGGGTACATGTGTACAATGTGCAGGTTAGTTACATATGTATACATGTGACATGCTGGTGCACTGCACCCACTAACTCGTCATCTAGCATCAGGTATATCTCCCAATGCTATCCCTCCCCACTCCCCCCACCCCACAACAGTCCCCAGAGTGTGATATTCCCCTTCCTGTGTCCATGTGTTCTCATTGTTCAATTCCCACCTATGAGTGAGAATATGCTGTGTTTGGTTTTCTGTTCTTGCGATATTTTACTGAGAATGATGATTTCCAACTTCATCCATGTCCCTACAAAGGACATTAACTCATCATTTTTTATGGCTGCATAGTATTCCATGGTGTATATGTGCCACATTTTCTTAATCCAGTCTATCATTGCTGGACATTTGGGTTGGTTCCAAGTCTTTGCTATTGTGAATAGTGCCGCAATAAACATACGTGGACATGTGTCTTTATAGCAGCATGATTTATAGACCTTTGGGTATATACCCAGTAATGAGCATTTTTTCATGCATTTTTTGGCTGCATAAATGTCTTCTTTTGAGGAGTTCTTTAGTTTAATTAGATCCCATTTGTCAATTTTGGCTTTTGTTGCCATTGCTTTTGGTGTTTTAGACCTGAAGTCCTTGCCCATGCCTATGTCCTGAATGGTATTGCCTAGGTTTTCTTCTAGGGTTTTTATGGTTTTAGGTTGAGCATTTAAGTCTTTAATCCATCTTGAATTAATTTTTGTATAAGGTGTAAGGAAGGGATCCAGTTTCAGCTTTCTACATATGGCTAGCCAGTTTTCCCAGCACCATTTATTAAATAGGGAATCCTTTCCCCATTGCTTGTTTTTCTCAGGTTTGTCAAAGATCAGATAGTTGTAGATATGCGGCGTTATTTCTGAGGGCTCTGTTCTCCTCCATCGATCTATATCTCTGTTTTGGTACCAGTACCATGCTGTTTTGGTTACTGTAGCCCTGTAGTATAGTTTGAAGTCAGGTAGGGTGACGCCTCCAGCTTTGTTCTTTTGGCTTAGGATTGACTTGGTGATGCAGGCTCTTTTTTGGTTCCATATGAACTTTAAATAGTTTTTTCCAATTCTGTGAAGAAAGTCATTGGTAGCTTGATGGGGATGGCATTGAATCTATAAATTACCTTGGGCAGTATGGCCATTTTCACGATATTGATCCTTCCTACCCATGAGCATGGAATGTTCTTCCATTTGTTTGTATCCTCTTTTATTTCCTTGAGCAGCGGTTTGTAGTTCTCCTTGAAGAGGTCCTTCACATCCCTTGTAAGTTGGATTCCTAGGTATTTTATTCTCTTTGAAACAATTGTGAATGGGAGTTCACACATGATTTGGCTCTCTGTTTGTCTGTTATTGGTGTATAAGAAAGCTTGTGATTTTTGCACATTGATTTTGTATCCTGAGACTTTGCTGAAGTTGCTTATCAGCTTAAGGAGACTTGGGGCTGAGACGATGGGGTTTTGTAGATATACAATCATGTCATCTGCAAACAGGGACAATTTGACTTCCTCTTTTCCTAATTGAATACTCTTTATTTCCTTCTCCTGCCTGATTGCCCTGGCCAGCACTTCCAACACTATGTTGAATAGGAGTGGTGAGAGAGGGCATCCCTGTCTTGTGCCAGTTTTCAAAGGGAATGTTTCCAGTTTTTGCCCATTCAGTATGATATTGGCTGTGGGTTTGTCATAGATAGCTCTTATTATTTTGAGATACTTCCCATCAATACCTAATTTATTGAGAGTTTTTAGCATGAAGGGTTGTTGAATTTTGTCAAAGGCCTTTTCTGCATCTATTGAGATAATCATGTGGTTTTTGTCTTTGGTTCTGTTTATATGCTGGATTACATTTATTGATTTGCGTATGTTGAACCAGGCTTGCATCCCAGGGATGAAGCCCACTTGATCATGGTGGATAAGCTTTTTGATGTGTTGCTGGATTCGGTTTGCCAGTATTTTATTGAGGATTTTTGCATCAATGTTCATCAGAGATATTGGTCTAAAATTTTCATTTTTTGTTGTGTCTCTGACTGGCTTTGGTATCAGGATGATGCTGGCCTCATAAAATGACTTAGGGAGGATTCCCTCTTTTCTATTGATTGGAATATTTTCAGAAGGAATGGTACCAGCTCCTCCTTGTACCTCTGGTAGAATCTGGCTGTGAATCCTTCTGGTCCTGGACTTTTTTTGGTTGGTAAGCTATTAATTATTGCCTTAATTTCAGAGCCTGTTATTGGTCTATTCAGAGATTCAACTTCTTCCTGGTTTAGTCTTTGGAGGGTATATGTGTTGAGGAATTTATCCATTTCTTCTAGATTTTATAGTTTATTTGCTTAGAGTTGTTTATAGTATTCTCTGATGGTAGTTTGTATTTCTGTGGGATTGGTGGTGATATCCCCTTTATCATTTTTTATTGCATCTATTTGATTCTTCTCTCTTTTCTTCTATGTTAGTCTGGCTAGAGGTCTATCAATTTTGTGGATCTTTTCAAAAAACCAGCTCCTGGATTCATTGATTTTTTGAAGGGTTTTTTGTGTCTCTATTTCCTTCAGTTCTGTTCTGATTTTAGTTATTTCTTGCCTTCTGCTAGCTTTTGAATGTGTTTGCTCTTGCTTCTCTAGTTCTTTTAATTGTGATGTTAGGGCATCAATTTTAGGTCTTTCCTGCTTTCTCTTGTGGGCATTTAGTGCTATAAGTTTCCCTCTACACACTGCTTTGAATGCGTCCCAGAGATCCTTGTATGTTGTGTCTTTGTTCTAGTTGGTTACAAAGAACATCTTTATTTCTGCCTTCATTTCATTATGTACCCAGTAGTCATTCAGGAGCAGGTTGTTCAGTTTCCATGTAGTTGAGTGATTTTGAGTGAGTTTCTTAATCCTGAGTCCTAGTTTGATTGCACTGTGGTCTGAGAGACAGTTTGTTATAATTTCTGTTCTTTTACATTTCCTGAGGAGTGCTTTACTTCCAACTATGTGGTCAATTTTGGAATAGACGTGGTGTGGTGCTGAAAAGAATGTATATTCTGTTGATTTGGGGTGGAGAGTTCTGGAGATGTCTATTAGGTCCGCTTGGTGCAGAGCTGAGTTCAATTCCTGGATATCCTTGTTAACTTTCTGTCTCGTTGATCTGTCTAATGTTGACAGTGGGGTGTTAAAATCTCCCATTATTATTGAGTGGGAGTCTAAGTCTCTTTGTAGGTCTCTGAGGACTAGTTTTATGAATCTGGGTGCTCCCGTATTGGGTGCATATATATTTAGGATAGTTAGCTCTTCTTGCTGAATTGATCCCTTTACCATTATGTAATGGCCTTCTTTGTCTCTTTTGATCTTTGTCGGTTTAAAGTCTGTTTTATCAGAGACTAGGATTGCAACCCCTGCCTTTTTTTGTTTTCCATTTGCTTGGTAGGTCTTCCTCCATCCCTTTATTTTGAGCCTATGTATGTCTCTGCACGTGAGATGGGTCTCCTGAATACAGCACACTGATGGGTCTTGACTCTTTATCCAATTTGGCAGTCTGTGTCTTTTAATTGGAGCATTTAGCCCATTTACATTTAAGATTAATATTGTTATGTGTGAATTTGATCCTGTCATTATGATGTTAGCTGGTTATTTTGCTCCTTAGTTGATGCAGTTTCTCCCTAGCCTCAGTGGTCTTTACAATTTGGCATGTTTTTGCAGTGGCTGGTACTGGTTTTTCCTTTCCATGTTTAGTGCTTCCTTCAGGAGCTCTTGTAGGGCAGGCCTGGTGGTGACAAAATCTCTCAGCATTTGCTTGTCTGTAAAGGATTTTATTTCTCCTTCACTTATGAAGCTTAGTTTGGCTGGATATGAAATTCTGGGTTGAAAATTCTTTTCTTTAAGAATGTTGAATATTGGCCCCCACTGTCTTCTGGCTTGTAGAGTTTCTGCCGAGAGATCCGCTGTTAGTCTGATGAGCTTCCCTTTGAGGGTAACCCGACCTTTCTCTCTGGCTGCCCTTAACATTTTTTCCTTCATTTCAACTTTGGTGAATCTGACAATTATGTGTCTTGGAGTTGCTCTTCTCGAGGAGTATCTTTGTGGCCTTCTCTGTATTTCCTGAATTTGAATGTTGGCTTGCCTTGCTAGATTGGGGAAGTTCTCCTGGATAATATCCTGCAGCGTGTTTTCCAACTTGGTTCCATTCTCCCCGTCACTTTCAGGTACACCAATCAGACATAGATTTGGTCTTTTCACATAGTCCCCTATTTCTTGGAGGCTTTGTTCATTTCTTTTCTCTCTAAGCTTCTCTTCGTGCTTCATTTCATTCATTTGCTCTTCCATCACTGATACCCTTTCTTCCAGTTGATTGAATTGGCTACCAAGGCTTGTGCATTTGTCATGTAGTTCTTGTGCCTTGGTTTTCAGCTCCATCAGGTCATTTAAGGACTTCTCTGCATTGGTTATTCTAGTTAGCCATTCGTCTAATTTTTTTTCAAGGTTTTTAACTTCTTTGCCATGGGTTCGAACTTCCTCCTTTAGCTCGGAGTAGTTTGATCGTCTGAAGCCTTCTTCTCTCAACTCGTCAAAGTCATTCCCTGTCCAGCTTTGTTCCGTTGCTGGTGAGGAGCTGCATTCCTTTGGAGAAGGAGAGGCGCTCTGATTTTTTGAGTTTCCAGTTTTTCTGCTCTGTTTTTTCCCATTCTTTGTGGTTTTATCTACCTTTGGTCTTTGACAATGGTGACGTACAGATGGGATTTTGGTGTGGATGTCCTTTCTGTTTGTTAGTTTTCCTTCTAACAGTCAGGACTCTCAGCCGCAGGTCTGTTGGAGTTTGCTGGAGGTCCACTCCAGACCCTGTTTGGCTGGGTATCAGCAGCAGAGGCTGCAGAACAGCAAATTTTGGTGAACAGCAAATGTTGCTGCCTCATCGTTCCTCTGGAAGTTTTGTCTCAGAAGAGTACCCAGCAGTGTGAGGTGTCAGTCTGCCCCTACTGGGGGGTGCCTCCCAGTTAGGCTACTCAGGGGTCAGGGACCCACTTGAGAAGGGAGTCTGTCTGTTCTCAGCTCTCCAGCTGCGTGCTGGGAGAACCACTACTCTCTTCAAAGCTGTCAGACAGGGACACTTAAGTTTGCAGAGGACTCTGCTGCCTTTTGTTTGGCTTTGCCCTGCCCCCAGAGGTGGAGTCTACACAGGCAGGCAGGCCTCCTTGAGCTGCAGTGGGCTCCACCCAGTTCGAGCTTCCAGGAGGCTTTGTTTACCTCCTCAAGACTCAGCAATGGTGGGCGCCCCTCCCCCAGCCTTGCTGCTGCCTTGCAGTTTGATCTCAGACTGCTGTGCTAGCAATGAGCGAGGCTCGGTGGGCAGAAGCGGGATATAATCTCCTGCCAGAAGCCAGAAGCTCCAAGCCAGAAGCGGGATATAATCTCCTGGTGTGCCATTTACTAAGACTGTTGGAAAAGCACAGTATTAGGGTGGGAGTGACCCGATTTTCCAGGTGCCATCTGTCACCCCTTTCTTTGACTAGGAAAGGGAATTCCCTGACCCCTTGCACTTCTCAGGTGAGGTGATGCCTCAACCTGCTTTTGCTCATGCTGGGTGCGCTATACCCACTGTCCTGCACCCACTTTCCGACTTTCCCCAGTGAGATGAACCCGGTACCTCAGTTGGAAATGCAGAAATCACCCGTCTTCTGTCTTCTGCGTTGCTCACGCTGGGAGCTGTAGACTGGAGCTGTTCCTATTTGGCCATCTTGGCTCCACACCAATGTTTTATAGTTTTCATTGTAAATATCTTCACTTCTTTGGTTAAATTTATTCCTAGCTCTTTTATTTTATTTGTAGCTATTGTAAATGGGATTACTTTCTTGATTTCTTTTTCAGAGTGTTCACTGTTGTCATATAAATATGCTCCTGATTTCTATGTTGATTTTATATCCTTGCAACTTTACTAATTTTATTTATGAGTTTGCATAGATTTTTGGTGGAGTGTTTAGGTTTTTCCAAACATAAGATAATATCAGGCTGGGCACAGTGACTCATGCCTGTAATCCCAGCACTTTGGGAGGCCAAGGCAGGTGGATCACTTGAGGTCAGGAGTTCAAGACCAGGCTGGCCAACATGGCAAGACTCTGTCTCTACTAAAAATACAGAAATTAGCTGGACATGGTGGCAGGCACCTGTAATCCCAGTTACTCAGAAGCCTGAGGTGAGAGAATCACTTGAACCCATGAAGCAGGTATTGTAGTGAGCCAAGGTGGAACCATTGCCCTCCAATCTGGGTGACAGAGTGAGACTCTGTCTCAAAAACACAAACAAAACAACAACATAAAAGATAATATCATCAAGAGTAATTTGATTTCTTCCTTTCCAATGTGGATGCCTTTTATTTGTTTCTATTTTCTGTTTGCTATAGTTAGGACTTCTAGTACTATGTTGAATAACAGTGGTGAAAATGAGCATCCTTGTCTTGCTCTAGATCTTATAGGAAAGGCTTTCAGTTTTTCCCTGTTCAGTATAATAGCAGCTGTGGGTCTGTCTTATATGGGTTTTATTGTGTCAAGGTATGTTCCTTCTATTTCCAGTTTTTTGAGGGTTTTCATCGTGAAGGAATGTTGAATTTTATCAGATGCTTTTCAGCATCAATTGAAATAATCATAAAGTTTTTCCTTCATTCTGTTGATATGATGTATTACATTGGTTGATTTGCATACATTAAGCCATCCTTGCATCCCTAGGATACATCCTACTTGGTTATGATGAATGATCTTTTTTGTGGTGTTGAATTTGGTTTGTCAGCATTTTATTGAGGATTTTTGCATTAGTGTTTATGAAGGATATTGTAGTTTTCATTTTTGAAGTGTCTTTTGTTTTGGTATCAGGCTAATGCTGGCCTTGTAGAATAAGTTTGGATGTATTCTCTTCTGCTCCATTTTTCATAATATTCTGAGTAGGACTGATATTATTTCTTATTTAAATATTTGGTAAAATTGACATCAAGTCCTGAGCATTTCTTTGCAGGAAACTTTTTATTATGGCTTTGATCTCATTACTTATTATTGGTCTACTAAAGTTTTAGACTTCATGTTTCAATCTTGCAGGTTGTATATGTCTAGAAATTTATCCATTTCTTCTAGGTTTTCCAGTTTATTGGCATATAGTTGCTCATATTAGTTTCTAATAATTCTTTGAATTTCTGCTGTGTTAGTTGTAATTTCTCCATTTTCATATTGGATTTTATTTATTTGGGTCTTCTTTCTTTTTTTCTTAGTCTAGTTAAAGATTTGTTGATTTTGTTTATCTGTTCACAAACAAACTTTTTGTTTCATTTATCTTTTGTGTTTTGTTTCAATTTCATTGATTTCTGCTGTTTTCTTTATAATTTTTCTTCTACTAATTTTGGGTTTTGTTTGCTCTAACTTTTCTAGTTCTTTAAGATGCATTATTAATTTTTTTATTTAAAGTTTTTCTACTTTTTCGATGTAGCTGCTCATTTGAATAAACATTCCTCTCAGTACTGCTTTCCTTGCATCCCATAGGTTTGTTGTGTTTCCATTTTCCTTTGTTTCAAGATATCTTTAAATTCCCTTCTTGATTTCTTCATTAACCTTCTGGTCATTCAGCAGCATGTTGTTTAATTTCCATGTGTTTGTATAGTTTCCAAACTTCCTCTTGCTATTAATTTCTCATTTTGTTCTACTGTGTCAGAGAAGATACTTGATATGGTTTCAATTATTTTGAAATCTTTAAGGTTTGTTTTGTGGCTTAATATATGGTCTGTCTTTGAGAATGATTCATGTGCTGAGGTGATGAATATGTATTCTTCAACTGTTGGATAAAATGTTCTTTAAATATCTATTAGGACCATTTGGCCTATATTGCACATTAAGTCTAATGTTTCTTTGTTGATTTTTTGTCTGGATGATCTGTCCAATGCTGTAAGTGGAGTGTTGAAGTCTCCAGCTATTATTGCATTGGAGTCTCTCTCTCACTTTAGCTCTAATACTATTTGCTTTATATATCTGGGTGCTCCAGGATTGGGTGCACATATTTACAATTTTTATACTCTTTGTGAATTAACCCCTTTATCAATATATAATGACCATCTTTGGCTCTTTCTAGTATTTGTCTTGAAATAATTTTGTCTGATGTAAGCTTAGCTACTCCTGCTCATTGTTGGTTTCTATTTGAATGAAATATCGAAGTTGTCTTATTGAAGTTAAACCAGTTTGATATTCTATAACTTTCTTGTACTTGAATATTTGTATATTTATCTGGTTAGGAAAGTTATCTGTTATTATCCCCTTGAATATAATTTCTACCCCAATGTCTTTCTCTGCTTCCTCTTCAATAACTCTTAGATTTGCCCTTTTGAGGCTATTTTCTAAATCTTGCAGTCATGCTTCATTCTATTTTATTTATTATTCTTTTGTCTCCTCTGACTATGTATTATAAAATAGCCTGTATTCAATCTCACAATTCTTTCTTCTGGTTTATCAATTCTGGTGTTGAGGGACTCCAATGCATTCTTCAGTATGTCTATTAAATTTTCAGCTCCAGAATTTCTTCTTGATTTTAAATAAATATTCAATCTCTTTGTTAAATTTATCAGATAGGATTCTAAATTCCTTTTCTGTTTTATCTTGAATTTTGTTGAGCTTCCTCAAAAAAATTTGAAGTCTCTGTCTGAGGGTAACATATCTCTGTCTCTCCAGGATTAGTCACTGGTGTCTTATTTGGTTCATTCAGTGATATCATGTTTTTCTGGATGGTCTAGATGTTTGTAGATTTTAGTCAATGATTGGTCATTGAAGAGTTAGGTATATATTGTAGTCTTCACAGTCTGGGGTTGTTTCTTCCTGCCCTTCTTGGGAAAGTCTTCCAAATATTCAAAGGGAATTAAGTGTTGTGATCTAAGACTTTGGTCACTGCAGCCATACCTGCATTAGGAGACATATCAAGCCCAGCAATGCTGTGACATTTGCAGATTTGAAGAGGTACTGCCTTGGTGCTCTTGGGTGAGATCTGTGAGAATTCCTTAGATTACCTTGGCAGGTCTAACAGTGACATCTAGGAGCAAAGGCCTGGAATCGGGGACTTCAGGGGTCTGCTCAGTGCTTTATTTTACTGCTGCTGAGCTGTTACCCAAGTTACAGGACAAAGTCCTTTTTACTCTTCCTTTTCCTTTCCTCAAGTAGGAGTTTCTCCTTGTGGCCACCACAGCTGGGAATGTGCTGAGTCACACTTGAAGCCAGTATGGTACTGGGTCTTGTCCAATGACCATGGTGAGTACTGTCAGGCTACCACTGATATTTATTCAAAGCCGCAGGGCTCTTTTGTCAGCTGATGATGAATCCTGCTAAGACTAAGTTCTTCCCTTCAGGAAAGTTGGTTTCCTTCTGTTCCAGGGATTTTCTGGAAATGTTGCCTGGGAACTAAGGCCTGGAACTGGGACTTCAAGACTTCTTTTGGTGCTTTATTTTACTGTGGCTAAGCTGGTATCCAAGTTGTAAGACTAAGTCCTCTTTACCCTCCCCTCTCCATTTCTCAAGTGGAAGGAAAGAGTCCCTCCAGGAGCAGTAAGCTGCCCTGCCTGTGGTTGAGAAGGGGTGACACAAGCACTCTCTTGGTCGCCCCAGCTGTTGTCTCAGTGGATCACATACACTCCAAGTCCACTGGCTCTGAGCCCAGCCCAGAAGCAGTACTTGTCCAGGAATTACAGTCCTTGTAGCCTAGATTGTCTTTCAACTTTTCTTAAGACCCTAGAACACTTTAGTGTGGTGTGTGGCTAGTCATAACTCATATTCTGCCCACTGGGGTAGATGATTCCCCTCTGGCTAGGGCTGACCTAAATGTTCATTCCTTGGGTGCTGGCTGAATTCTTCCCTGTGTTGCTTTCCACTGTTACAGAACCACACTGAGTTCTACTGCAGAGGCCCACAATCACTGCACTCTCCCTCCCCCTATCACACAGATTTTCTCTCCCTACCATGCAACCACATGACCATTGCCAGGGGATCAGGGACAGCTGGGGCCGACAATTCAAGACTGTCTTTCCTAGCCTCTTTAGTGCCTCTTTTCCTTGATAGGGTGTTAAAATCAGATACTGTAATCACTCACCTGATTTTCAGTTCTTATGCAGATGATTTCTTGTGTGGATAGTTGCTCAATTTAAAGTTCTTGCAGAGGGAAAATCACCGGAGGCTTCTGTTTGGCTACCTTGCTCTGCCTCCTATGAGCTATTCTTAATGTTTCCACATGGAAGGATTTTCTTTAGCATAAATCTTGAGGCCCCTTCATGTCTTCTGTATTTTCATATGCTCTGTTCCTATACTGGAGAAACCATGATCTGATTGGTATGTTTTGAAGAAAAAAAAAATTAACAAGCCTTGGTCAACCTCTTCCTCTCTTTCTCTCTTCTCTCTTTCTCTTAGAAATGATGATCCCAGACAATGAAAATGCTTATCTTATTTTCCATGCTGTAAATCTTACAGAAGTAAGCCTCCTATGTGGGAAGAGCTTTCTAGATCTGGTGCTGCTGTTACTGGCTGCAAAATTCTGCCTGTATCTAGGACTCAGTATTTTTAAGAATACCTGTCTATAGATATAAACCATGATTCAGACTCAGTTCAGCTTTATCTACATTAAGACAATTTTTCTAATCTGCTTTACTATGCGTTATATTCAATTTAGTTCAGAATTTATTCAAATAAGATATGCATTTTTAATTGGGACCTGCTATATTTTCCAGTAGTCACTACCATTCATAGGATAAAGCGCTTTTCACACAGTAGCATAGCTATTCTAATTATAGTCATTTTATAGATGTGAACACTAAATGCTTGAGAAATTAAGAAATCTTGTTAATGGTCACACTGCGTGTACTAGCTATCTATAGCTGTGTAACAAATTACTACAAAACGTAGGGGCTTAACACAATGCCAGTTTATTACTGCAGTTTGTGTGGGTTAAGAATTTGGCTAAACAGCAAAAGAAACTATCATCAGAGTGAACAGACAACCTACAGAATGGGAGAAAATTTGTGCAGTTTATCCATCTGACAAAGACCTAATATCCAGAAACTATAAGGAATTGAAACAAATCTATAAGAAAAAAACAAAGAAACAATTCCATGAAAAAGTGGGCAAAGGACATGAACAGACATTTATCAAAAGAAGACATTTATGCGCCAACAAACATATGAAAAAATCTCAATATCCCTGATTATTAGAGAAATGCAAATCAAAACTACAATGAGATACCATCTTATGCCAGTCAGAATGGTAATTATTAAAAAGTTAAGAAACAACAGATGCTGGCAAGGTGGCAGAGAAATAGGAATGTTTCTACATTGCTGGTGGGAATGTAAATCAGTTTAACCATTGTGGAAGACAGTGTGTGATTCCTCAAAGACCTAGAGGCAGAAACACCATTTGACCCAGCAATCCCTTTACTGGGTATATACTCAAAGGAATATAAATCATTCTATTATAAAGACACAATAGCAAAAACATGGAATCAACCTAAATGCCCATCAATGATAGAGTGGAAAAAGAAAATGTGGTATATATACACCATGGAATACTATGCAGCCATAAAAAAACGAATGAGATCATGTTCTTTTCAGGGACGTGAATGGAGCTGGAACCCATTATCCTCAGCAAACTAGTGCAAGAACAGAAAATGAAAAACCACATGTTCTCACTCATAAGTTGAGGCTGAACAATGAGAGCATATAGTCACAGAGAGGGGAACAACACACACTGGGGCCTGTTGAATGGGTGAAAGGAAAAATAGCTAATGCATGCTGGGCTTAATACCTAAGTGATGGGTTGATAGGTGCAGCAAACCACCTTGGCACAGTTTTAACTAAGTAACAAACTTGAACATCCTGCACATGTACCCAGGAACTTAAAATAAAATAAAATAAAATAAAATAAAATAAAATAAAAAGAATTTGGCTACACTTTACTTAAGTCCCCTCTTCTTGTTTTCTCAAGAGACTGTAATAAAAGTGTTGGCCAAATGAGTACAGTCTCATTTGAAGATTCAACTGGAGAAGTATCTGCTTCTAAGCTAATTCAATAGTTATTGGCTATATTCAGTTCCTTGCAAGTTATTGACTGGAGGTCAAGTTCAGTTCATTGCCACATGGACCTCTCCATGGCAGCTTGCTTTCTCATATAAGGGAAGTTGAGAAGGCAATAGATGGTCTGCTAGCAAGATAGAAATTACAATCTTTTGTAACCTCATCATGGAAGAGGTATCCCATCACCTTTGCTGTATTACATTGGTTATATTCAAATCATTAGGTCCAGCCTGCAATCCAGAGAAGAGGATTACACAGGGGCATAACTACTATAAGACGGAGATCTTTAGAGACCATCTTAGAAGTCTTCCTACCACACTGTGATTAAGTATGAGTCAGTATTTCAGTATTTGAATCCATTTCTTCTGACGTCAGAATTCATATTCCCAGCCACATCATTAGTTGAGAGTAGCCTCTGCCCTCCACAGGGCTGGAGTATGTAGTGAGTATATAACTCTATAATTCTCTACTTCTACCCTTCCATTTCTGGCAAGCCAATATCTAATAAATATAATCTTTTCAAGAAAATTTAGAACAGAATCTTCAGTTCATGGTTAAGCTTTCACTTGGGCATCACTTTTAGGTGAGTTTACTTATCTCTGTTAGAGGTACAATATATATGTATATATATAAAATTTTTTTCTTGAGACGGAGTCTTGCTCTGTCGCCAGGCTGGAGTGCAGTGATCTCGGCTCACTGCAACCTTCGCCTCCCGGGTTCAAGTGATTCTCCTGCCTCAGATTCCCGAGTAGCTGGGACTACAGGCGCGTGCCACCACACCTGAGTAATTTTTTGTATTTTAGTAGAGACAGGGTTCACCATGTTGGCCAGGATGATCTCGATCTCCTGACCTCGTGATCCACCCCTCGCAGCCTCCCAAAATGCTGGGATTACAGTGGTGAGCCGCCGCTCCCGGCCATGTTTTTGTATTTTTAACTCTCAGATCAGTATTTCTTTCCAGGTTTATTTAGCCTCCACAAATCAATCATTCAGAGCACAAATTACCTCTAAAGTCTATTTTTAAAGTTAAACATTAATTTTTAATACTAAGGAAGTAATTCTAAATTAAATATGTTAATCAACCTAAATTAATCTTTTACTTATATGAAGCAGTTTTATTTCTCTGTATGCATTTTAAAGTCAAATATAAGCCTCTATTTATATTACTCTCCAAATTTTATCAATTTATTTGAGTATCTCTACAGATATACAAGGTGAATTGTACATAGCTTTAGAGACAAGAGAAAATTATTTTTGTATAACAGTAATGTTTTAAGTGCTTTATTCCCCTTGCTTATTTTTATAATGAACAATATCAACATCATCAGGAAGATTCATAAGATAATCAAAGTTCACATCCAAAGATATCACATTTTTTCCAGTGGGTAGGACTTATATGTTTCCCAATTAATTACATTATAATACTTTAAATGGTGTCTCCACTTTCAAATCATTTAAGTAGGGATTTCAAATACTTCAGGTTTAGGCTCTTCTGCTTCACAGAGTCAGACTCTGATTCAAGTAGATATTTATGTATTCATAAACACTTAACCAGACTGGTGGAGTGTCTCTTTATAAAATCTTGCAGTAGTTTATTATAACATAAATTATTCCCACTTAATCTGTCTATAAATGTAAATTTTTCTTTTATATTTCTGAAAGCTATATGAACTTATTATCAAGAACAAGCTCTGAAACACAAAATGCTCCATTTGTCCAGCAAATATTAAGTCAATCAAAATTATTACTTGCTTTTAAACGTAAATCCTTATAGTGCCCCATATTTCTGAATAATCTCTTTGGATTTTGCAGTATTCCATAATTAACACCCTAACTGTTCGTACATCTCCTCTTTTATTTGCTATTCCATCCCTTGAGGTCTCTCAATTTTTTAAATTTTCTTTGTGATAGTCATTGGAAAAAACATAACATTTGACCTTTCATAAAAAAATAGTAGTGGCTTCTTTCTTATTCTCTGTAGGCATTGTCAAATGCAACTATGCCTTCAGAAAGGTCTTGTAACTTATTAAATTTTTTTGTTAGCACAGTAAAAATTCATAAACTTTTCTTTGACAAACTAAAGAATAAAATGTAGGCACTCTGTTAAAAGTTACTTAATATGTGAATGTGTGGGAAATATAATCAATATTGCTGCTTTGTTCCCATTGTGTCATACAACATTAACAATTACGATTATTGAAATTATTTTAGGAAAATAGTTGTTAGTAACTCGAAATTATTTCTGAATTAAAATATTATTATTTGAGTGAACTTTTTAAAATAAACTGTGCTCTAAAGCCATTTATTTTATAATTGTAAATGAAGGCACATTTGAAATAACCCAGCGTTGAAGCTCACTGTGTGTAAAATATAGGTTTGATATCATACAACCACACATATTTTAGAAACTCAGCCTAAAGAAAAGTGTTCCTCAGCTTTGTCCAACGGAAGGTTTAATTTGGATCACGAGAACATTAAGTTCTTTTTACATTGACCATTTATGATATTTATCCCAACTGCTAATTCAGAACCTGCCATATGGTAATGGAAAGCCATTCAGCAAACACATAATGAAAACAATTCTGATCCTGTATTTTACTGTCAATCTATGCCAATCTTAAACTATAGCAAATTGTAGGGCTTTTGTGGAATTTTAAGACTTATTTTTTCTGTTGGATTTGATTCATTATATTTTTAAATATTTTTTGACATTTGAGATAGGAGTACTGGAGCTATTCACCAAAACATTTATCACTGAATATAAATATCAGACAACATATCTGGGAATGTGTAGAACCAACATAGTATGAGAAAGAGAAATCTCTAAACTCAGTAACCTTTAGCAAAATATCAATCAAGTATGTGGAAGATAGAGAATCTAATTTAACAATATATTTACATAAAATAATGCAGGATTCTTAGACCTAGCTACATATTAAAATTGCATTTTGATCACTTTACAAATTATCGGAGGTTCATCTTCAGACATCCTGATTTAGTAACTCTGGGACAGGGTCAGAACATCTGCATTTCTAAATAAATCTTGACAATTTTTATTTACAGCTAGCCTTAAAAATCATTTAAATTCTATAATAGTAGGAATTAATATTATGCAGCATGGTTTATTTGTGTATTATAAAGATATATTTGCCTATGTGCTCAGAAATTATTTCACATTAGGGATTGATTCTTATAATTATTGTTACAATATTAAATGTTTAGTGAATTATTCCTATGGATTCTTACAGTTGAAAAGAAACAGCTATATGAAGAATTGACTATGTCACATAATTTAAGAAATAAAATTTCTCTTAAACCAATAGAAAGAGCTTCTAGGCTGAAACTTGATGAGCCATATTAAGAAAATAGAACATAGCATAGAAGGTAAGTGGGGTCAGCAATAACTGACCCCATCCTGAAAGATGTCAATGTACTAATCCCTGGAACCTACGAATATGTTACATCACACCAAAAAGGGGAATTAAGATTCCAGATGGGATTAAGATTGCTAATCAATATACCTTAAAATAAGGAGATTATTCTGGATCATCCTGGTGGGCCCCATATAATCACAAGGGTCCTCAAAAGTGGAAGAGAGAGGGAAAAAAGGAGCTAAATATGAGAAGGATTTGATATGCTATTGCTGATTTTGAAGATGGAGGAATGGGGCCATGAGCCAAGAAATGTGTGCAGCCTCTAGAAATTAGAAAAGGGAAAGAGAAGCATTCTCCTCTAGAGCCTACAGAAAGAAATGCAGCCCTGCAAACACTTTGATTTTAGCCCACCAAAACACATCTTGGACTTCCACCCTTCAGAATCATAAAATAATTAATTTGTATTATTTTACACCACAACATTTATGATTATTTCTTACAATGGTAATAGGAAACTAAAACAGTAGGTAGTTAGAATACCAAAGTGGGAATGAGTGAAAGAAAAGTTGACAAAGTGCAGAATGTAAGAGTGAAATTAATCTGGACTCTGGGTAATCCAGACTCTAAAGGATTGTTCTTTAGTTTAAGGTACAGATAATCCAAGTAGTTTTCAAGGTTGTAGAGAATGCCATTTGAGTAATTTTTTGGTTTTATTTCTACCTTTTCTGTCCCTTGCTTCCTTCCTTCCCTCCCTCCTTCCTTCTTTCCTTCCTTTCTTTTTTTCCTTCCTTCCTCCCTCCCTCCTTCCCTGCCTCCCTCCCTCCTTCCTTCCTTTATTCCTTTCTTTTTTTTCCATTCTTTATTCACCAAGGAAACCTTTTTATTGGATAATTTAATGTTCCATGTAATTATCTCAAAAACAGTATCCTGGATGGAGAATATATATAATTCTGCTCATTAGAAGAAATACTCCCTATTAAAAAATCGGTAAATAAACATTTAACTGTAAATTACTCTGTATGACTTTAGTCAGTGAAAGTCACTTACTTTCTTATAAATGTTCATCCGTGACTGAAAAACCTTAGCCCTTTAAGAGTGAGATTTTATCAGTGAAGCAGATGTGCTACAATTATGGTTTCATTTGACACATGAAATTCTGTCTGAAATATCAATCCACATTTTAGATATTTTGATGTTTCACTACTCACCATGAAATTGACCATCAATTTCTAAAATACTTTTACAATGCATTAGTTCCTCCTTATATGCACCCAGACAAGTATCTCTTTTACATATTTCAGTACTTACACATATGTTTAGCCTGTTCTATTTTTTATTACACTTTCATAGTTCTTTCTACTTTCATCTAGGTGAGTCTTAGCTTTACAATAGTATAATAATATCTGCAGAGGCAGGAAGCACTTATATTTTCAGTGTTCCCCGACATGCAGTTACAAGGATTCAGTTTTTCCTTTATAAAAAAACTCTTTATAGAATGTTATTATTAATTATATATTATTTATTGTTTCCTACATAATGCTCATCGTGAACAATTCTCATTAATTTACATGTTGTACCATGCGTTCTCATTTGCCCCTAATAGAAGCAAATAATATTATACTATATACACACAAAAAATAGATTTTTTTAATACAAAATAGTTTGATCATTAGTTACTAGGTATAAATTTGGGTGGCTTTTTGTTCAGCAAGTGCTTTTTTGATTTGACTCTGTTATTTTTCTTCTTTCATGATCAAATTAACACAAATCTTACCATTGTATGATGGTGAGAAACAGAAATTGCATGCATTGTATAAATTAAAGTGTTTGCTATTATAAATTTTAATATTTAGTTGATCCTCAGTTCCTTTATTAATTTACATGTTAGATAAGTGCTTATCATTTGTCACATTGCATGGTTTAAGACTCACAGGATTTTCTTTTTCTATCTTCCCGCCTAGTACATTTACCATTGAATTGCAAAATGGTCAAAGAATGTCAAAGTTCAAGTAAAGAATCAGTCAGGACATGGCCGGGTGCAGTGGCTCATGCCTGTAATCCCAGCACTTTGGGAAGCCGAGGTGGGCGGATCATCTGAGGTCAGAAGTTCAAGACCAGCCTGGCCAACATGGTGAAACCCCATCTCTACTAAAAATACCAAAAATTGGCCGGGCATAATGGTGGGCACCTGTAATCCCAGCTACTCAGGAGGCTGAGACAGGAGAATTGCTTGAACCCGAGAGGCGGAGGTTCCAGTGAGCTGAGATGGTGCCATTGGACTACAGCCTGGGCAACAAGAGTGAAACTCCATCTCAAAAAAAAAAAAACAAAAAATCAGTCAGGACCCCTGAGAGACAGGTCAATAATGATTAATCATGAGGATCATTGTCTTAATCCTGATTTCCCCTTTATACACATTATTAAGTGCCTACATTATTCAGGCCATATTAGGTTCTGGGGATATGAGGAGGCATAGGAATCATTAACTGTGTCTTGGCTGTTGTTAATAGTACAGAAATGAACATGGGAATGCAGATATTTCTTTGAGATGTTGATTTTCTTTTCTTTGCACTCTCAGAAGTGAGATTTTTAGGCTGTATGGTAGTTCTATTTTTAATATTTTGAAGAACCTCCATACTGTTTTCCATAATGGCTGTACCACTTTACATTCCCACCAACAGTGCAAAAGGATCTCCTTTTTTCCATACAAAAGGAAGAAAATCCTACTACTTGTGACAACATGGTTGAAATTTGAAAGGTATTATGCTAGGTGAAATAAGTCAAGCAAAGAAAGAAAAATACTACATGATTTCATTTACATGTGGAATCTAAAAAAGTCACTTATAGAAACAGAGTTGAATATGGAATGTGAAAGACTGAAATGCAAGAAGGGGATCTGTGTATAGCATGGTGACTATGGTTAATAATACTGTACTGTATACTTGAAATTTTCTGAATTCTATATTTCCACAGTTCATACATGTATTGAATCATCATGTATATGTTTGAAGTATACAATTTTATTAGTCAATTATACCTCAATCAGTCTGTTAAAATAATGAAAAGAGTTATAACTGACAGTACTTTTTACTCATAAGAGTTTCCTGGTCAATCACATCATACTCTGTATGTGTCTCTCTACTTCTTCATTATGGTCTTATAGAAAGTATACTTTCTTAGAGTTTCACCTTTCTTTGGCAGAGTTTGTTTATAAATTCTGCCAAAGTACTTCTCTCTTCCTTTATCCATAATTGTTTTTCCCTTACATTCTAGCAACCTCTTCTTTCCAAAACTTCTTGGGAAATTTCTTTAAAGTCCATATTGCTTCATCTCCGTAAATGGTTTCTTTCTGTCAAATATAATTAACATCAGAGAATGTTAATTCCTCTTCTTGTTTCTTTTACAGTTTGAGAGAAAATAGTCATCAGGCCAAATCAAAATTTAGTCAGATTATTTTCTATTAGTGTGGAGCTTTGCTATGTTTATAACAAGCAACTTTCTGTATTAGGTATGTATTGCCACCTATTTATATTTTTTGCTCATTCATTTCTTCATTCATTCACTTTATGTTCATTAAATGCCAAATAATTTCCTGGCAAACTCCAGAGTTAAACTTTTTCACTCTGTCCTTTAGTATGAAAGGAGATACTTTCTCTTCTTTTGACAGTTTAAGATGACTTATTTTTAGTCAAATATGCAAATAAACTAAAATTTGCTAATATTTCTGTACTAAAAATAAACATTTTTTTTGTTTGCTGCTTTGTAGATACACCCAGAGGCATTGAGTACATTTTTTAAATAAAAAGTAAGTCTGTGGAATGTTGATATCAGCCTAGAAAATTGCCAACTATAACATGCACATCTGGTAGAAGGGGCGATTTCTCTTTAACTGTAGGCATCTCTTATTTAGTTTAAAATGAAAGTAAATTGATTAATATTTCTACATGAGAACTTGTGTTTTAGAATATTAGACTAAATTTCATGATGTTAAATTTCCTTCACTAATGCATTTGTCTTTTTCGAAGCATTCTATATACATTAATGAAATAAAAGATTGTACTCAATGAACAATGCACAAAAATATTATTTAATATTTCAAAATATGTATAAAATATTTATTTTACAAACCTTGGAATTATTGCACACAAAAATACTAAATAAAATATGGGTTTTCATATGATCACCTCAATTGATGCCACAAAAGCATTTGAAAAAATTCAGCATCGCATTATGATAAAAACCCTGAACAACATAGGCATAGAATAGACTTAACTCAAAGTAATAAAAGCCATACATGACAAACTCCCAGCCAACATCATTTGGAATAGGAAAAAGTTGAAAGAATTCCCCCTGAGAACTGGAATA
The DNA here is from genome assembly GCF_000001405.40 of Homo sapiens. Taxonomy (NCBI): domain Eukaryota; kingdom Metazoa; phylum Chordata; class Mammalia; order Primates; family Hominidae; genus Homo; species Homo sapiens. The sequence continues at coordinate 6,953 of NT_187554.1, read as the reverse complement.
AGAGAAGGATGCTCACTTTCATCACTTCTGTTCAAACAGACCTGGAAGTCTTAGCCAGAGCAATCAGAAAAGACAAATAAATAAAGGGCATCCAAATAGGGGAAAAAGGAAGTCAAACTGTTACTGTTCACTGGTGATATGATCATATATCTAGAAAACTCTAAAGTCTCATCCAAAAAGCTCTTAGATCTGATAAATGAATTCAGTGAAGTTTCAGGATATAAAATCAATGTACAGAAATCAGTAGCACTACTATATAACAAATACCAAACTGAGAATCAAATCAAGAACTCATTTCCTTTTACAACAGCTGAAAAAGCCAACAAACAAATAAACAACAATAACAACAAAACCTTAGGAATATACTTAGCCAAGGAGGGTAAATATCTCTACAAGGAAAACTACAAAACACTGCTGAAAGAAATCACAGATGACACAAACAAGTGGAAACACATTCCATGCTCATGGATGAGAAGAATCAGTATTGTGAAAATGACCATACTGCCCAGAGAAATCTACAGATTCAACGCAATTCCCATCAAAATACCACCATCATTTTTCACAGCACTCAAAAAAAATCCTAAAATTCAAATGAAAAGAAAAAGAGCCCACATAGCCAAAGCAAGACTAAGCAAAAAGAACAAATCTGGAACATCACATTACCTGACTTCAAACTATACTATAGACCATTAGTTTCATCCATTTCTCTATTATTTTTAAATATTCAATGATGCTGTCATATTATTGGAAAATAGCAAAATCTTAAACTAAAAGTTTATTTAGTTTAAAACATTTACTAATATGTGTTATATATTCACCTATATAACACACATATACAAAATTTTATGCCAGTTTTTAGAGTTATACATAATAACCATTGTATATTATGCATATGTAACAGTTATACACACATAACAATTATAGTTTATGCCAGTTATAAATGTATAACACACATATAAAATGCTTTTTTAAAGAGAAGAAAACACTGCATTTTACTTTGGATAATATTTCATCTTAAGGGAAGTACAAATATATATTTTTTACTATCATTTCGTCAAGATCCCAATTGTCTCACTATCCATATATTATCTAGTTCTTTGTTGCTAGATCATATAGTAGATCAAATAAGCATTGAAAACAGAATTAATAAATATGTTACAGAATAAAACAAGGGCATGAGCCTATGCTAGATAACCAATTAGTTATCATCCAATAATTTACAAACTTAAAAAACCATCTATGTACAAAGTTTATATTTTAGGCAATAATTTGTCTTATATATTCTACATTATGTCAATAATGATCCAAGGGAAATTATTTCATGAGACTCAGAATTTTAGTATATTCTAAAATGTTATTTAAGAAAAAAATAATGACTGCTATTTTCCACATAATGAAAAAAACAAGACAAAATATGTTCAACCTTATTTGTCCACCTGCTTAACATATGGGACAAATGGAAATCTAAATCAAATTATAATAGGTAATCCTTATTATTCATGTATTTTTTCTCCAAAAGGGCATTGTTAGGAGGCGGAATTTATAGTAAATAAGTCAATTGCAAATATTAGTTTCACAGACTTGTTTAAACTGCTAATAAACTCTATCATCTCATGAGCTCAAAAACTTTCTGATTTTAATCCAAGATTGAGCTGTGTGATGGTTGATATTACGTGTCAACTTGATTGGATTGAAGAATAAAAAGTAGTGTTCCTGGGTGTGCCTATGTGAGTGTTGCCAAAGGAGGTTAACATTTGAGTCAGTTTTTATATATATCTCAGTTTTTTTATCCATTTATCCAACAATATATGCTTAGGTTGTTTATCTTGACTACCATGAAAAATGCTGCAACAGACATGGGAATACAGCTAACTCTATGAAGTGCTGACTTTATTTCCATTGGGTATACACCTGGAAAAAGATTGCTGGTTTATATAATTATAATTATATTTATAATTATTAAAAACAATTTTATTTTTTTTGAGGATTCTCCATACTATTTTCTATAATGGCTTTAGCAACTTATATTTTTACCAACAGTGTAGAAGGGTTTCCTTTCCTCCACACTTGTAGTTTTTATAATAGCAGTCCTAATAGGTTTGATGTGATATTTCATTGTCCTTTTTATTTGTGTTTCCCTAACGATTAGTAAGGTTGAACACATTTTTGTATACCTGTTGGCCATTTGTATGTCTTTTTTGAAAAGCTGTCCATTAAGAACTTTGCTAATTTTTAATTTTTTTATTGCATGTTGTATTAGTCTGTTCTCCAACTGCTAATAAATACCTGAGACTGAGTAATTTATAAGGGAAAGAGGTTTAATTGACTCACAGTTCCACATGACTGGGGAGGCCTCAGGAAACTCATAATCATGGTGGAAGGAAAGCAAACACATCCTTCTTCAGAGGGTACCAGGAAGGAGAATGAATGAGTGCCCAGCAAAGGGGGGAGCCCCTTATAAAACCATCAGATCTCATGAGAACTAACTCACTATCACAAGAACAGGATGGGGAAAACCACCCCTATGATTCAATTACCTCCACTTCTTCCCTCCCTTGACACATGTGGATTATGGGAACTAAAATTCAAGGTGAGATTTGGGTGGGGACACAGCCAAACCATATCAAGCATGTACTCTCTTCTTATATATTTTGAGTATTAACTTTTTATGAGATATATAGTTTACAAATATTTTCTCCTGATCTTCCAGCTTTTCATTTTGTTGATGGCTTCCTTTGCTGCTGATTCCTTAGTTATATATAGACCCATTTGTTTATTTTTGCTTTTGTTTCCTGAACTTCTGATGTAATGTCCAAAATATCATTGGCAAGATCAATATCAGGGAGCTTTTTCCCTGTATCTTCTTCTATGAGTTTTATGATTTTAGTTATTGTGTTTAAGTCTTTAATCTATTTTGAGTAGATTTTTGTGTATAGTGTAAGGTAATAACTAAATTTTTTCTTTTACATGTGAATATCCAGTTTTCCCAATACCATCTACTGAAAAGACTATTATTTCTTTATTGCGTCTTGGTGACCTTGTGAAAAATTAGCTGACCATATATCCTTGGGTTTATTAACAGGCTTTCTATTCTATTCCACTGTTCTATGTCTGTTTTTATGCCAGTACCCTACTCTTTTTGTAATGTGTTGTTTGAACCTACTCACTGGACAGACTACTAAAGTTATTTTATTTTTTATATATTTATTTATTTAGTCTTGCCTTGTCACCCAGGCTGGAGTGCAATGGCACAATCTCGGCTCACTGCAATCTCTGCCTCCCAGGTTCAAGTGATTCTTCTGCCTCAGCCTCCCAAGCAACTGGGACTACAGGTACGCACCACCACATGCCGCTATTTTTTGTATGTTTAGTAGAGACAGGGTTTCACCATATTGGCCAGGCTGGTCTTGAACTCCTGACCTCGTGATCTGCCCACCTCAGCCTCCCAATGTGCTGGGATTACAGGCAAGTTAATTTTTATGAAAATATTTATATATGTACGTGATATCCAGATGGCACAAAGAGTCCTTTTTATAGGTACAATTATTACTCTCAGTGATTAGGTGCAGTTATATACCTACTTTTCTGAGGATGCTCATTAGAAAGAGATATGAGTATAACCAGTGGACAGTGCTCTCAGAGCTGCCTTCAGAATGAAACAGGTTAAAGTCAGAGACTCTCAGTCTATTTGCTGATGTATGGAAACATTGCGCTGGCTTCACTCATGCTGCTGCTATAGCATGCTCTCTTTTCTTCCCTAAATCTTTGGAAATGCTTTGCCTGTTTTTCTACACTCATCTTGGGTGATCACAGCTGTTTTCTCTTGATACAATTAGCCAAAAGCCCAAAAGAAAAAGCCAGGCACACAGCATCCAGATAAGTAAAAATGGCATAGTCTTAAAATGTATAACTTAGTGAAAAATACTTTTTTTACAGAATTAATAGCAAAACAGTTGAGCTCTCCAATAACTTTCTCTAACTTATAGTTGCTCAACAGGTGTTATCTATTTGTGGTAGATTTTGCTATGAAAGTTATATTTGTTTCATTTATATAGGGCTCCTCCATCTCTAGATACAACTAATCTAGTTCATTTTGGTGTGCTTTACATATTATAAGCTAATTTATTTGAAGTTTCTTTGAAGCACACATGAAATATTATTCAAAATGTTTTGTTTTCTGTCACTGTTTAGAACCATAAGTATTTTATGCTGTAGAGGAATGTTCTAAATTCAGCTTCAAATCAGACTTTGTGAAAGTGACTCCAGTTCAATGGCATTTACTCATTTTATTTATATTAAATATTTGGTGCATAACGTGAATATGTTCTGATGTCAATAGATATTGGAGATGCAAGAGTGACTTTGCTTTTCTGAGTGCCAAGTACTCTTGAACACACTGCCAGAGTTATCATAGCAGAGGTTTGAGAAAATGTTCTTCAATATCTGCACATTGCTGATCAAATTTTTCTAAGCCTTTTGGCTTTCTTGCTTCTAGATTTGCTTGACATACAAAGGAGGACATCTATCTTGCTAGTATACTACCTTCATGGTCTAATAACTTACATACCCCCAATGAAATAAAATCCTAGGCTGCTAATCTCCTTGTGGGCTAGCCCCGGAAAATGAACCCGGTATATATTCAACTCTATAGCAGGGTCTAATTTTTATGCCTTAAATCATGTGATGAGACTAGCAAGTCAGGCAGTTAACCAAGGACTCAACAGGCTAACCATGCTCTTCATTCATCTCCATGGGCATATGTCTCTCAGAGGGAACAATTTTTTCTGAGGTCTAAAATGCTCTGTTAGTTTCCGAATAGCTGCATTAAAACCTCTATTATCTCTTGTTCCTTTGAGCATGCAAAACATATCCTGGAGGTCAATGCCCCTGAAGGGTGACTTTTTGTCAGATAACTGCAGGATCACATGCAGTTACAAATAGTTTTAAACATCTCTGTTTAGATCATATTTGAACAACCCTTAATCTCATTCTAGACCAACAGTAGTTGAATCCATAAAAAGGTTAAATGGTCATTTAAAATTACATGTAGTAACTGATGTAGGAATATCCACATGATTCTCCTTAAATTAATAGCAAGTGCCTGCTTCAGATAACTTTGTGTAATACCATTCTTTATGACACTATATTTAAATCATTTTTATTAACATGCTTCTAAATGGAACATCATAATATTACTTACTCCCCATTTCAAAAAATTTATGAATACTCTATTATGCACATAAATTTTCCTGTACCCCAATAAGATGCAATAAATATAGTAGCACATTATTTTTCTATTGAAGAAAATGTGTTAAGGCCATAGCTGAATTAATATTTTTTCAGAATTAATATGTGAAGATATTACTCATACTTACCTAACAATGGAATAAACATGAGAAGGTGAATCAAATCAGACCAGATCTAAGACTTATCTTTCAGGAATTTTACCAGTTACTTCATTAAAAGGAATTAAAAATCAATAACAGGACCACAAGGAAGCTTGTGTGTAATATATATTATATAATTATGCTTACATTCTCTGATAGAAGGGATTGCATAGACTCTGTGTTGATCAGTTCTCAGCTTTAGGACTGAAGCACATATATCCCTAGCTTCTAGAGTTTGGCTGGCTACCTTCCTCAAAGTCATGCCTTCTTTTTAGGGGCTGCTGCATCCAATGACTGGCCAGTGCATAATAAGTTCAAGCCCCTTTGCCTCTCAGAAGGCTAACTCCATTTCAGACTGTGCTTTCCATTGAAGTTGATCTTCAACACCATTTTATATCCAGAACTGAGCATAGGATAAGGTACAAGGCACATGGTGGATGCCCAGTAAATATTTGCTGAAAGAGGTATAGTGAATGTAAATTGTACATAGAGTGGTCTTCAGGCTCTGAGTTATTTTCATTTTGACTTTCTCTAAAAGTTCATCAAAGATTTCAGATAGCTAATACAATTTGATGTGACAAGATTAATTTTGATCAATGTATTTCAGCTTTCCTCTCTTTTTGAAGGTTTAGTGAAAGTAAGATTTATTCCCTGATTATAATGATGTGGGAAAGTTTGAGCACCTGTCACACTCAGGAACATAACAACCAAATATAAAAATATGGTTAACCATCAGTTTAACTACTATTAGAATTCAAGATCAAGTTACACTTAATTAAAAGAAAAAAAGCTACATGCAAATAATTCCAGATTTGAAGTAAGTAATGAGTATTTGAAGAAAATGCTCATTCATTTTCAGGTAGTGAAATTTTAAAGTTTTGAAATTATGGCCAACTTATAATAATAATCACATTAGATTTGTGGAATAAAAGCATGTTTATGTTTTTTTTAAGAAAAGAGTTTATGGGATGAACATTTATTTTGTAAAATTATTGATGTTTCATAAAACTGCCTGTTTTGGGGTAAAAGTTTCCTAAATGTAAAAGATGAACCATCAGGTGCAACATCTGTTACTATGAATATAATGACCTTCTCATTCAGCAGGAACAAATGCAGCAACTGCAAGGTCTTCTCTCTGGAGGAAACTACCTTGGGAAAAGAAAAGGCCCTGTAGAATTACAATGAACAGACATTGCATAGATATGTTAACACATTCTTTAATACTGTGTATTGTGCATAAATGGCAAAGGTTAGAGTTTTGTTTATTTTCCTAACATTTACAGATGTCTTAAAGTAAATGGTTTTTATCATTAGATATTAAAATAATATACAGAAAATTTTATGTCAATGATATGTGTATGTTTTGTTGTTGCTTTTTTGTGGTTTTCCTTATATTGCCCACCATCACTCCAAAAATTGTTGCATATCATACCTTTCAGATACAGAGAATACTATATTCATCAGTGCAAAGTTATAGTTGCAATAATACAAAACACAAAGAATTTAGTAACTCAAACTTTGTAATTTAGGCAATGTGAAATAATTCCTGGGCTCTGTGTATATTGT